>NW_021160014.1:0-264228 GCF_000001405.40 Homo sapiens | reverse complement strand
GAATTCCCAAGTTTCTAGCTTTGAATCAAAGATTTTTTCCTCTGCACTGTGTGTGGGCCAAACAGCACAACTGTGGGCCGCTAATTTGCAAGCCTTAACTTATATAGAAAAACTAACTTCCTCCATTTTCTGGAACACATGCTGAATAGAGATGGGGCTGAAACATTCAGGCAAAAAGTGGAAGACCAAGCCAATCATCTGTGGAAGGGAAGATTAAACCTACATTGTAATAAAACAACCCCAATTATTTAGACCCAAGAAGAAAAATTTTGAAAGTATTTTCTCCAAATAGCTTCATGTTTGTTAGCCTATAATTGAAAGAGCTGATGATTGGATTGTTTTATCCATAGGCAAATAAATGCAACTCTTTGCTTTTCAGAGATGACATCCTAAAATAAAACTAATCAATTTTAAATAAAAAAAACTTTCTGAATACATTAAAATATTCCTTAATATAATATTACTAGGTGAATGATGTGTCAGTTTACTTATTCCATAGTGAAAATATTGCTTTTCTAGAGATAGTTAATAGAAGAGAATAGAAATTTATTTTGTGAACTGTGAATCTTCCCAAGACACTATGCCTGAAAAGTGTAGTTTTATTTCAAAGCAATTTATAAACCTTGGCCAAAATTAAGTGGTCCCTAATTTACTGAAAGAAATTTTAAATATATCACTATTTTGAACAAGGTTCATCACTTTTTTCAGGATGCACTTTAAGAGAATATGAAAAAGTACATAATAAAAATGAATCATGTTAATTTCTAGCTAAAGAATCATGAAATATTAAATAATTTTCTAGATATTTTTAGTAGAAAATTAATTTGTCTCTTTAATTTCAGCACATATTTTAAGTTTGGTAAGTGATATAGTTTGGACATTTGTCCCCTCCAAATCTCATGTTAAATTTTGATCCTAAATATTAGAGGTGGGGCCTAATGGGAGGTGTTTGGCTCATGGAGGCAGAGTACGTTCTCACTTTATTAGTTCCCAGGAGAACTGATTCTTATAAAGTGCCTGACACCTCTCTCCACATGCTCTTCCTCTATTGCCATATGATCCCTACTCTCTTTCACCTTATGCCATAAGTGGAAGCTTTCTGAAGCCCGAGAAACAGACGCTTACACCATACCTTCTTGTACAGCCTGCAAAAATGGGAGCCAAGGCCTTTATAAGGCCAACTTATCTCAAATTTTATCAGAATTAGTTATAATAACAATTTCTCATTGAGAAATCTTATTTTTTTCCCAGGCTGATTGTGATTATTTGGTATCCAACCCCAGCAGTTGTGTAATGCTTAATTTCTAATGCCACCCCTGTTACAGAGAAAAGAGGCAGTATATATTGTAATTTGTTCTTCACTGATCCCTTCCAATGCTTGTGATGCTTCTGTAGCACTTAAGAGAATTCATACCATAATATGATTTATATAAGCCAAATGCTATGATTCTTATTACTTTTTTTCTCCTCATCTATGTGTACTAACTTCATTTCTCATGTGCATGCTGGCTAAATAGACTACCTGTTTTGCTTTCAGATTTGTTCTCTACCAATGCCCTACACTGCTAACAGGAAACTGCCTTCTGGATTTGTGGGAAGTTCACCAGCAGGAAGCGCCAGTGGAAATTGGGAGGGGTAAGAGTAGGGGAGCAACTTAGGTATCCCACCATTTGCTGTGGCACCTAGCATCTCTTCCTGGGCCTCAACTCTGCCAAATGGCTCCGATTTTTCAACTCTGATAGCAAAATCTGCTTTTTGTCCCTACAGGACTAGCAAGAGTAGTACCTCCTATTATTCATAATTTTGGGTTTGTTTGGTCCCTTGGCTCTTCCATCTTCAGTGTAATCATTTACCTTCATTAAAAATCCTCTATTTCTAAGACTTTAAAGTGAATGATTTCTGCTTCCTTGATTGATACACATGCCCAAATACAGGACTCTACATAGTTCCAATGACATCTATTAATAGCACATATCCGCTAATATATAGTAAGACCCTTTCTAGACAAATAAAAACTAAAATGGTTTCATGGACATTGTGAATGTTGCGAATTGTTGTGAATGTGGTTGTGAATTATCCTGAAGCTCTGTAAGTTGTATGTACAATGTTCTATTGGAAGAAACAGAGCACCTACAGACTAGGGATATTATTCACTTCAATCAATTAGCCACGGACAGAAAATATGTTTCACTTTTTAGCCTAGTCACAAGAACTTTACTTATTGATGAAATCTTAAAAAAAAGTTTTATTGTCAAGCTTCAGGTAGTTTAAAGTGAAAAATATGGAGACATTTCATATGGTGAGTTTTTGTTAACCAGGGGATAGCTTTTATCAAATGATGTGGTTATTTTTCTTTAAATGTATGTATTAGTTACTATGTTTAAAACCTTAATAGCCCCAAAAATACTTGATTAAAGAGTTCTGACTGAGGCTAAAACGTGTGTGTGTTAAATAAGACCTGCAAATATTTTAAAAAATTCTTAACCACTGCAAGATGCCATTTTCTGATGCAAAAACAATGCCACTCATATTTAAAATTATAGAGAAATACCTTATAACCTGTTCTCACTAAAAACCTAGATTATAAGACTTCAAATAAACAATAGGAAAGCTTCTAATCAGCCCAAATCCAACCAAGTACATACTGATTAATACTTCACAGTATTTATCTAAGAAAATGTCAGCAAATGCCGGTTAGTAGAGTTTGTTTTTGCTGAGATATCTTTTTTTTTTTTTTTTACTTTTTTATGTTGGATTTCATATTCTCAGTGGCTATAGCTGATTTCCACTGTTCTTCAGTTAGTTTCCTGGCTGCTCACAAAGATTTTCCTGCATGCCACTGCTCTCCAGGAATCTACCAACATTCACGTAGACTTCTCAATGAATGGCACGGAAAGTTTCTTCTTAAGGTAAGTTCCTAGTTATTACTATTGTATAGGCAGATATTTTTACAAACTCAATCAAAAATTTAGGAAAACACTTAAAAAATCTTGTGTTATTTATTTGAACATAAATTATGAGGAGTATACAATATTATTATGAAAGAAGAAACTATAAATTACACTTTTCTACCCATTTTCTGTGGTGGGAGGAAGGAAAATCAAGCAATTTTCTAAGATGGGTGAGGACTTTTATGGGAAAGTCCTCTCATAAATATTTTAGTCTTATTCCTTTCAAAATATATAAGAAATACTTTTCTTCTAGCAATTTCTAAAAAGGTAGATGATGTATTCTAAAAGGGGCAACAACTGAAAACTTCTATGTCTTGAAGACATGTTTTTTCTGATTACAAAACAACTAAACATCTTCTTTTAAAAAATTCAGAATATGAAGACTGCACACAAAAGCAACTAGAGAATAGACTACTGACAATTCAAGGTATCTGAACATCAATTTGTCTTGGAGGTTTTGCACACGTCAAACTCAGCTCTTACTGAACAGGTCAATGATACCAGTATCACTGAGTGTCCAGTGGACTCTCACTGCATTATTTTAATTCTAAAGTTTATTTTAAACTTTACTGGGGTATAACTGAAATGCAATAAACTACACATACTTAAGGGCCATAATTTGTTGAGTTTTGACATACTTATACACTCTGATATGGTTTGGTTCTATGTCCCCACACAAATCTCATCTCTCATCTTGAATTGTAATCCCTACCTGTCAAAGGGGAGAAGTGATTGGATTATGGGGGTGGTTTCCCCCATGCTATTCTCCTGATAGTGAGATCTGATGGTTTTATAAGCTTCTGGCATTTTCTCTGCTTGCACTCACTTTCTCCTGTTGCCTTGTGAAGAAGGTGCCTGCTTCCCCTTTCACCTTCCACCATGACTGTAAGTTTTCTGAGGCCTCCCCAGTAATGCAGAACTATGAGTCAATTAAACTTCTTTCCTTTATAAATTACCCAGCCTCAGGTAGTGTTCTTTATAGCAGTGTGACAATGGACTAATACAAACTCATAAAACCATTACTGCAATCAGCACCAAAGGTTTTCATACCCTCATTTGTAAGCACTCCTGACCTGTCTTTTTCCACACCAGTTCCAGGACAAATGGTGATTTGTTTTCTGTGGCTATAAATTGGTTTACATTTTGTAGAATTTTATATAAATGGGATGACACAGTACATTTTAATTTTTGCTCTAGTTTGTATCACTTAATAATAATAATTTCAACTTTCATCCATGTTGTTAAATATATGAGTAGTTTATACTTTTCTATTGAAAAGTATTATTCCATTTTATGGATATACCAAAGTTTGCTTGCCCATTCACTTGCTGGTGGACATATGGGTTGTTTCCAGTTTGGGGTTCTTAAAAGTAAAGCATCTGTGAACATGCAAATACAGTCTTTGTGTGGACATATGTTATTGTTTCTTTTCTGCTTCTATTCTGTTTTCTAGAAGCAGAATAGATTGTATGGTAGGTTTATATTTATTTTCCTAAGAAACTGCCAAACTCTCTTTCAAACTGATTGTACCATTTTACAGTCCTACCAATTCCAGTTTTATTTCCTCCATATCTTTACCAACACCTGGAATGGTGTTGTTTTATTTTAGTCATTCTAAAGAAGTAGTGTCTCATTATGATTTTATCTCACATTTCCTTGATTACAAATGTTGTTGAAAATCTTTTCATATACTTTTGGTAATTCATATATCTTCTTTTGTGAAGTGACTCTTCAAATATTTTACCTATGTTTTATTATATGTTTGTCTTATTATGAGTTGTAAGAGTTTTTACATATTATGAATAAAAGTTCATTTATATATGTGAGATGTTTTCTTCTAATATGTGACCTGCCTTTTCATTTTCTTAATAGTGTATTTCAAAGAGAAAATTCTTAGTTTTGATAAAGTCCAATATAGAATTTTCAAGACATTACTCTTTAAGAGCAGTTTTAGGTTCACAGCAAAATTGAGAAGGGAATATATAGGAAATCTCTGTAACTTTCTCTCAATTTTGCCGTGAACCTAAAACTGCTCTTAAAGAGTAATGTCTTTAAAATTCATATTTTGGACTTTACCATAACTAAGAATTTTCTCTTTGAAATACATTATATATATATAGCTATATAGATATAGAAATACACTATATATAGGGTATATATGTATATATATAGTGTATATATAATATATATATGAAATACACTATACACACACACACACACACACACACACACACACACACACACACACACACACATTACTTACTTCCCCAACCAGAGTGGTACATTTATTACAATTGATGAATGTACATCTACATCATAATCACACAAAGTCCATAGTTTACATTAGGGTTTACTCTTGGTGTTGTACCTTCTGTAGGTTTGAACAAATGCCCAGTCACATGTGTTTACTATCATAATGTCATACAGAATATTTTTACTGCACAGAGTAAATCTTCTGTGCATTGCCTAGTCATCGCTCTCCATTCCACCTTTTTTCTGTCTCCATAGTTTTGCCTTTTCCAGAATATCACATAGTTGGAACTATATAGTATGTAAGCTTGTTAAATTGGCTCATTTTGCTTTTCATAGCTTGATCGCTTATTTCTCTTTACTACTGAATAATATTCTATTTTCTGGATGTCTTATAGTTTACTCATTCACCCACTGAAGAACATCTTGGTTGATTCTAAGATTGGCAATTATAAATAAATCTGTGAATATTCGTATTCAGGTTTTTGTGGGAATCAAAGTTTTCAACTCATTCGGGTAGGTAACACAGAGCAATAATTTTTGTATTTTGTGTTTCATGCTTTTTGAGTTTTAAGAAACTTTTTGCCTATCGTATGTTTCCAAGATTTTCTATCCCGTTTTCTTCTAGAAGTTTTCATAGTCTTAGGGTTTACATTTATATTTATGGTCAACTTTTAGGATTTTTTTTTAAGTAACCAGTGTTTTATTTGAAACTCTCAAGCTAATATTTGAACTCTGTTTTATCTCTTTGTCATTTACACAATCAGATAAGTCCCTGAGGTCATATATAAACTCTCTGATTTATATGTTTCTGAGCCTCATATTCCTTATGTAATAACCTACTAATTCTATCCTTCTCAAACTTAATATACTGAAAATAGCAACTGATAATAAGAGTAATATATAATTATTAAAATTATAATATTATCATGGTGGCTATTTGTTGAGTACTAGTTCAGTACCAACAAGTTTTACTTTTTATTTCATTGACTCTTCCCAACAAACTTATATATTATTATATCGTTGCCATTTGTACAGGTGAGAAAATTATGTCTTAGAGAATTTAAGTAACTTATCCATGGTTGTACATTTAGTAATTGGCAAAGCTAAGAACTGGACACTATTCTGACTGCTGCATTGCCAAATTTTAAACACTGCTCCCTTGATCCTTTTGAAATGGCAATTTTCTAAACTCTACTGTATCTTCACTTCACTTTTTAAACACCCCATTACATCATTATCTAAAGTCAAACACATCTCATTTCTTAAAATATGTGGCCTCTCCTGTGGCCTTCCAAAATGGTGCTGCTGATTTTTTCCAAGTTTTGGATACTTAAGAGCATTTTCCTAGGTTCAACTTGTTTGCTCTCTTCCATGTCTAATGGTCTATAGCTAGCTTTATCTTCCCTCTTTTCAGGCCAAACTTGTTTGCTGTCTCATATCTGACTCCATAGAGTTTTTTCTTCCTGTTTCTTGAATATTATATCCCTAAGTCACAAATCATTTTGTCTACAGAAAATATCATAATGACTGGAAAAATATGTACCTTAGTTATTGAGCACTTGCCTTGTCTAGGCACTAGGCTACGTAATTTTTACAATAATATCTTCTAATATGTTACAACCTTATGAAGCAAGTATAATTATTATCTTAACTTTACAAATGAAGAAACTGAATTGACCACTACTTTGGCCATAGTTGAAAGAAATGATAGAACCAGGATTTGATCCAGGGATGGGTCTTTTTTTGTTTCTTACACTTCACTCTCTAACAGTATAACAGAAAAAGTAACAGCTTTTTCCAGCTAGCAAGTCTACTGACAAAGCTTTTTTTTTCTATGGGTGAATGCAGCTGATTCTGTAGTCTTGGGGAGAGTGTTTAGCACCCCAGAAGCATAAATAACATCTTCTGTCAGAAACAAGTTATATAAATTTATAACAGTTAATAAGATTTTGAGGAAAACTTGGGGAAGGAGGACAAATAGATAATGATTTCTATTAAGAGTGACCACTGCTTCAACCTGGCCTCAGGTTACAAACCCCACACCTAGCAAGCTTTCACCTGGCAGGGGTAAATCAATTCTCATTAATAAGAATTTTCATGCTTCACCCTAAACTGTCTTCAGTCAAAAAGAGGAGGAATCTCGTTCTTCAGTATGAATACCATTCACATTCCTTCCACAGAATAACTAACTGAAAATGGAAATGGACATTCTGTTAGAATAACAAGAACCCCAAACTTCCTTAACATACTTTCAAAAATAAAATAAGATGACTCTTATAGTTCAAGATGAATCAATCACAATACTTCACAGTACAATACAGAAATCTGAGTTATTCAGTCTTAATTTGTACAATGTCAAGACTCCATCAGTCCAGTTCAATAACTATAATCCCAGTCCTGTCTAGTTCTTTGTCACATTCTTTCTGTCAGCTGGATACAGAAAGAATATTAAACCAATATATGCCTTTTGTTTTTTCTCAGTTTTACAATTTTTTGAGAACAAATAAATTGAACTGTTTTAACTGAACTACTTTCTTGTTTGTCCTCAAAAGTTATATCCTCAATGTTTATATGGATAATCATTAATATAAGAATTTTAGAGCCAGAAACATCTTAAAATTAATCTAACACATTTTTCAGGCAAGAAAATATGTCGTTCTAGGTAGTTACACGATGTAAGATTACACATCTAGTTAATGGCAGTGCTTTAACTAGAATAAAACATCTTCTATATCTAAATTTGGAGACATATTTCTAGGAAATTTTACACAATTTTGTTTTTTAGCTTACAGCTCTTCCCCTTAAGAAGAGTTAACAGGCATGGGGAAAATTAATTTATATCAGAGAAGAACAGAAGTTATGATATCATTTATATGGCATTCAGAAAAATATCAAAAAATACATAAGCATATATACATGTACTGAAAAGTAAAAATAGTTAAAAGTCTGCATCTGTGATATGATTTTTAGAAAATGAGAATTATAATTATAAATTCTGACTTTTTGTGTGCTAGGACTCTAAAACAGAACGCTTACTCTGTAAAGGTTCAGATAGTAAATATTGTCAGCTCTGTGGGCCATATGGTCTATCATAATTACTCCAATTTGTTGTTGTTGTGAGAAAGTAGCCATAGACAATATGTAAATGAATATGGCTGTATTCCCATAGAACTTTATTTACAAAAGCAGGAGCCAGGCTGTAATTTTCCAACTCCTGCTCTAGACTGATGCATGAATTATTTCGTTGGGTTAATTATTCTTTACATATTGATCGAGTTACTATTTTATGCCAATATCTGTTCTAGGCTTTGAAGCTAGTACAGCAGAAAAACTGCCTGTTCCATGAAGCTCGGAGTCTAGTGACAATAAATTAATAATTACTATGTTGTAGTTAATAACAATAAATTAATAACTGAATGTAGAGTATGTTAGGTGAGGATAAGCACCAACAACAAATATAGAGAAAAATAAGGTGATAGAGTTTGAAATAACAAGGAACGGCTTGCTAATTTAGAAAGTAGGGGCAAGAAATTCTCTTCGATGAGCAGAAAACAGAATCATGTGATTACAGAGACTATTTGAAGTTTGCCAAGTTTATTTACAAGTTCTGTGTAGAAAAGCTATTATATTTCTCTGTTGTTATTGGGGTTTATCCTTCTCTCTCTTGTTTTTCAGTTCTTTTAAATGCTTGCTTTAGGCATTCAGAACACCTGCTTGCATGGACTAGCAACCTGAGGTGCCCCACTCTTTCTGTACAGAGATATTGGTGCAGGGGGGCCTTTACATCCAGGCAGATCTCCAGGTAGTTGGAGAACTTGCTCACCTTGATCAGAAGCCTAATCTGCCCCTCTCTTCCATGTCTGGCCCATCTTCTGTGCATAGATTGTGGTGCAGTGGGGCCCTCTCTGTTTCATGCCCAGGCAGATCTGTAGTCATTCAGAGCACCTACTTGCCTGGTTCAGCAGCCTGAGCCATTCCACTCTTCCTGTGCAGAGAATCTGATGTAGGGCAAGGGCTTCTCCACTCCAAGTCCAGGCAGATCTCCAGGCATTCAAATCACCTCCTTGCCCATATTGGCAGTCTGAGCTGCCCCACTTTTCCTGAACAGATTGTAATGCAGCAGGGCCCTCTCTGCTTCATACTCAAGCAGTCAGAACACCTGTTTGCCTGGATTTCGAGCCTGGGCTGCCTCACCTTTCCTATGCAGAGATTGTGTTGCAGAATGGCCATCTATATTTAATGCATAGGCCAATCTCAAGTCATCTGAATCACACACTATCCTGGACTCAGAGTTTAAGTTGCTCCCATTGCTTGTTCTAAGACCTTGGAGTCAAGAAGTTTTTCTGTCTCCATGCATAGGCACACCTTTGGGTGCTCTGTCATTGCTTACTGGATACTCACTGTGCACTGGTGTGTGTGCCTGCCATTGGGGTACCTGCCATGTCTGGCCCATCTTATGCCCCTCCTGCCCCACCCAAGGGCTGAGCAGGTAGCTCAGACCACTGTACACTCCATGGATCACCCCACTGACTGAGGCAATAGAGAGCTTCTCCCAGTAAACAAAAGTCAAATGTGTATATCTAGTTACATTGGCTGCAACTGGCTCTTACCTATAAGTGCAATCTACTGGCTTATAGATTGAATTGCACAGCCTAATATAAAACCTGCTCAAAGATGTTCATAGGGCTATAGAAGCAATGCCAAAATACCCTACCCAGTATTTTCTACAGTCACACCACCTGGAGAGGGGATGGTGAAAGGGAAAGTAAAAGAAAAAATAATAATATTATAAAAAAAGAAAAATTAAAAATCCTATCCAAACAAAAATTATTACAAAAATCAGAAGTACCAGTGTCTCCAGATGAGAGGAAACCGGCACAAGAATTCTGGCACCATAAAAAGTATGATTGTAGTGATATCTCCAAAGGATCACACTAGCTCTCCAGCAATGGTCCCTAACCAAAAGAGAAATTCAGAAATAACAGATAAAGAACTCAAACCATGAATTGCACGAAGCTGAAAGAGACCAAGACAAGTTTTAGAGTCAACACAAAGGAACTTCTAAATAAATCCAGGAAATAAAGGAAGAGATAAACATCTTAAAAAGAAATGAATCAGAGCTTCTGGAATTGAAAAACTCACTTGAGGAATTTCAAACACAATTGAAAGCTTTATCAATAGACTGGACTAAACTGAAGAATTTCAGCAAAAATTTCAGAGCTTGAAGACTGATCTTTCAAACTAACTTAGACAAAAAAAAAAAAAGAATTGTAAAAAATGAACAAAATCTTCAAGAAATATGTGATTATGTAAAGCAACCAAGCTTAGGAATTATTGGCATTTCCGAGAGAGAAGGAGGAAAAATAAACAACCTGGAAAACACATTTGAGGGAATACTTTTAGAAAATTTTCCTAATCTTGATAGACAGGTAGACATCTGAATACAAGAAATGCATAAAACACCTGCAAGATACTATACAAAACAAACACCAACAAGGCAGAGTCACCAGACTGTTCAAGATCAAAGCTAAAGAAAAAATCTCAAGGGCAACTAAAGAAAAAAAGCCAGATCATGTACAAAGGGAACCCCATCAGACTAACAGCAGACTTCTCAGCAAAAACCTCACAAGCCAAGAAATATTGGGGGTTTATTTTCAACATTCTTAAAGCAAAGAAATTCTAACCAAGAATTTCGTATCCCACCAAGCTAAACTTCATCAGTGAGGGAGAAATAAAACCTTTTCTAGACAAGTAAGTGCTAAGAGAATTCATTACCATAAGACCAGCCTTATAAGAGACCTTAAGAGCAGGGGTCCCCAACTCCTGGACCAGAAAACAGTACCAGTCTATGGCCTATTAGGAACTGAGCTGCACAGCAGGAGGTAGTCACCTTACTGCCTGAGCTCCACCTCCTGTCAGATCAGTAATGACATTAGATTCTTATAGGAGCACAAACCATATTGTGAACTGCACATGCAAGGGATCTAGGTTGTGTGCTCCTTATGAGACTCTAACTAATGCCTGATGATTTGAGGTGGAACAGTTTCATCCCAGAACCATAATCCACCCCACAGCCCCCACAATCCATGGAAAAATTGTCTTCCATGAAACTGGTCCCAGGTATGGTTGGGGACCACTGCTTAAGAAAGTTCAAAACATGGAAACAAAACAACAATACCGACTAACATAGAAACACGCTTATAAACATAATTTCTGGGATGCAAGTTTAGTTCAACAGTCACAAAACAATAAATGTGACTCACCATAAAAACAGAATTAAAAACAAAAATGATGTGATCATCTCCATAGACATGGTAAAAGTCTTTGAAAAAATACAATAAACCTTCATGTTAAAAACTCTCAGCAAACTAGGCCTCAAAGGAACATACCTCAAAATAATAAGAATAATCTCTGACAAACTCACAGCCAACATCATACTGAACCAACAAAAGCTGGAACTATTCCCACTAAGAACTGGAACAAGACAATAATGCCCACACTTATCACTCTCAGTCTTCATAATGCTGGAAGTCATAGCCAGAGCAATCAGGTAAGAGGAAGAAGTAAAAGGAATCCAAACAAGAACAGAAGGAAACAAACTCTCTCTTTGTGGCTAACATGATTCTATACCTGAAAAACCCTAAAGACTCACCCAAAAGGCACCTGGAACTAATAAATTGACTTCAGTAAAGTTTCAGGATACAAAATCATTGTAAAAAAAAAATCAGTAGCATTTCTATATACCAATAACATTCAAGCTGAGAACAAAATCAAGAACACAATCCCATTTACAGTTGCCACAAACAAACTAAATTACCTAGAAATACATCTAATCAAGGAAGTGAAAGATCTCTATAAGAAGAACTGTAAAACACTGCTGAAATAAATCACATATAACACATACAAATGGCAAAATATTCCATGCTCATGGATTGGAAGAATAAATGTCATTAAAATTACCATACTGCTCAAAGCAATCTACAGATTTAATGCTGTTCCTATCAAACAGCTAACATTATTTTTTCACAGAACTAGAAAAACATGATTCCAAAATTCATATGTAATAAGGGGCACAAACAACCAAAGCAATCCTAAGCAAAAAGAACGAAGATAGAGGCATCATAATACCTGACTTCAAACTATACTTATATACTTATATAAATATACTTATAGTAATAAGGCTGCAGTAACCAAAACAACATGGTACTGGTACAAAAACAGACATATAGAACAATAGGTTAGAATACAGAACCCAGAAGTAAATCCACACACCTACAGCCATCTGATCTTTGACAAATTAGATAAAAATAAGCAATCAAGAAAGGACTTCATGTTTAATAAACAGTATTGGGATAATTGGCTAGCTATATGCAGAAGAATGAAACTGGACCCCTACCTTTCACCATATACACAAATTAACTCAAGATGGATCAGACATGTAAATGTAAAACCTGAAGCTATAAAAATTCTGGAAAAAACTCTAGAAAATATCACTCTGGGCATCAGCCTTGGAAAATAATTTACAACTAAATCCTCAAAAGCAATTGTGACAAAAAAGAAATTGAGAGATGGGACCTACATAAACTAAAGAGCTTCTGCACAGTGAGAGAAACTATCAAGAGACTGAACAGAAAACCTACAGAATGGGAGCAAATATTAACAAACTATGCATCTGACAAAGGTCTACTGTAGAGAATCTATAAAGAACTTAATAAGAAAACACAAATAACTCCATTAAAAAGTGGGCAAAAGACACTGAGACTCTGTCTCAAAAAACAAAAACAAAAACAAAACAACTCCATTAAAAAGTGGGCAAAAGACATGAACAAACAGTTCTCAAATAAAACATGCAAGCAGCCAACAAGCATATTACAAAATGCTGAACATTACTAAACATCAGAGAAATTCAAATCAAAACCACAATGAGATACCATCTCACACCAGTCAGAATCGCGATTATTCAAAAGTTAAAAAAAAAAAAAAGAACACCAACAGATCATCTGGCAAGGCTGTGGAGAAAAGGGAACACTTATCCACTTTTGGTGGGAATATATTTAGTTCAGCCACTGTGGAAAGCAGTTTGAAGATTTCTCAAAGAACTTAGAACTACTGTTTGACCCAGAAGTCTCATTACTGGGTATCTATCCAAAAGAAAATAAATCGTTGTACCAAAAAGACACACAATATGCACTCATGTGTTCACTGCAGCACTATTCACATTAAAAAAATCATGGAATCCACCTAGCTGCCTATCAACAATGAACTGGAGAAAGAAAACATGGTATATTTACACCATGGAATACTATGCAGCCATGAAAAAATAACACAATTTTCTTTACAGCAACATGAATGCAGCTGAAAGCCATTAATCCTAAGCAAATTACTACAGAAACAGAAAATTAAATACCATATGTTCTCACTTATAAGTGAGAATCAATCATTTGGTAGTTGTGGATATTAACATGGCAAGAACAGACACTGAGAACTACCAGAGGGAGTAGTGAGGGAGGGACAAGGGCTGGAAAAATAACTCTTGGATACTGTTCTCTCTAACTGGGTGTTTTAGTCCATTCTCACACTGCTATAAAGAACTACCTGAACTGGGTAATTTATGAAGAAAAGAGGTTTAGCTGACTCACAGTTCTGCAGGCTTAGCAGGAAACATGACTGGGAGACCTCAGGAAACTTACAACCTTGGTGGAAGGATGAAGGGGAAGCAAGCACCGTCTTTACCTGGCAGTAGGACAGAGAGAGTGAAGGGGGAAGTGCCACATACTTTTAAACCATCAGATCTCATGAGAACTCACTCATTAGCGTGAGAACAGCAAGGAAGAAATCTGCCCCCATGATCCAATTGCCTTCCACCAGGGCCTTCCTCCAATTTGACATGAGATCTGGGAGGGGGCACAAATTCAAACCATATCACTGGGTGATGGGATCATTTGTAGCCCAAACTTCAGCATCAAGCTATTTGCCCATGTAACTAAACTTCACATGTACCCCTTAATCTAAAATAAAAGTTGAAAATATAAGAAATAAAAAGTACAATATTATATAATGAATATCTCCTTTAAATGTATTCTTTACCCAGGTGTCTGTACACAGTTGTCATTTGATATACTCCCTCATTATCTATTTAACTGCCCCCAATCACCCTGGCAAGGTGTAGGGTTGCTTGCTTCAGAATACTATTGAAATGTCCATATTCAATCCTTGATATTGATAAGCTAAGGTGGCAGCATTGTATTTTTCCTCGTGAGTGAGAGAAAACTTTGATACCATTAAACTCTGAGCCAGATGAAACTACTGTTTTGTGTACTCCAAATTGTTTCTTTTTAAACAGAAAATAATAATCAAATATAATATAATAGCCCATAAATTTGGAGGCCAAAGAAATTTCTATACTGTACTGATTATTAAAAAGATTTATTGAGTGTTTACTATATGCCAGACATTAAGCGAGGTGATAACTATATAATAATTAGAAAGATAATCATATATCTGCTCTAATATCCTGGGAAGGTATAATTCCTATGCCCCATTTATAAATCCCTCAGCCCCACCTTTTATTCATACCATTGCTGTGGCTGTGGTAGAACTTAGGACAGGTGCAAACTAACAGTGCCTTACCTTGGACTTCCACCTTCCCAATTCCCATCCCCAAATTCCCTTACCAGGGAATAGGACCCCATGGGGATCTAGTCAGCATTTTTTTTCTTTGCAAAATAGTATTTAGGCACAGATGTTATGGGCTTACCCTGGACCAAAGAGAATGGAGCCAATAAATAAATGATTTCCTCTGTCATCTGCAAGCCAGACAGTTCAGGGACGCATTTCATCAAGTTTCTTATTAGCCCTAGTGGGAACACATTTAAGTCCATAGTGGTCTTTCTTACTTCCCTGATTTAACTTATTTCAGTCTGGCCTCTCACTCCTATTCCCTGGAATCCATTTTCAATTAAACTACTTGCACACAAGTCTTTTTCTCTTCTGCTCTGGGGAAACCTAGGGCGAGATATGACGGAGACAGACTAAATAATTCAAAAAATAAATTTACAATTATAAAGAACATTTTAGAAAGCTATGTGACCATATTGCAGGTGTAGTTCACCAAGTTGAAAGGGTCCAGGAAGGCATCTGTTATAAAATAGGGTTTGAGCTGAAGATTGCGGTTAACAACGTGAGTGGAAGGAGAAATCTAGGCAGAGGAAACAGTACCTGTAGAGAACGGAGGACACAGGCGGCTTTAGAGTTCTGGAAGAACGAGAAGCCGTCAGTGTAGCTGCGATGCAGGAAGCCAGTGGTTAGAGAGGGGACCAGCTCCTGCATGCAGTATTGTTGCTGGAGGGCTTAGGAGGGTCTCCAGATGCCAATGAGACCCAAGTCCCTGCCTGTGTTCCAGGTTCTTGATACTGCTTCAAGAAAGAATTCAGAGTTTGGGCTTCTAATTTTATGCTGCTCCTAATTAGGGGGTAGAATAATGAGGATTTCAAGAAAAAAAAAAGGTAGAGATTTCTTGGAATTGGGGTGCCACCTTTGTTTTTGTTTGTTTGTTTGTTTCGTTTTGTTTTGTGACGGAGTCTTGCTCTGTCGCCCAGGCTGGAGTGCAGTGGCGCGATCTCGGCTCACTGCGAGCTCCGCCTCCCAGGTTCACGCCATTCTCCTCCCTCGGCCTCCCAAGTAGCGCCTGCCACCACGCCCGGCTAATTTTTTTTTTTTTTTTTTTTTTTTGGCATTTTTAGTAGAGATGGAGTTTCACCTTGTTAGCCAGGATGGTCTCGATCTCCTGACCTCATGATCCACCCACCTCCGCCTCCCAAAGTGCTGGGATTACAGGCGTGAGCCACCGTGCCCGGCTGCCACCTATTTTTATACTACATACGGCCGTGCTCCTATCTGTCGTGGTGCTGGTGGGTGTGTGACTTAGTATGGTAATGAGCATATGATTGGTCTGGGGTAGAACATGGGTTAAACCCAATACTATGTTGGACCCAGCCGGTTTCAACCAGCTTAGCCCCCATCCTGTTTGTTAGGATCTTATCAGCCCAAGTTCGTCCTTGTCCTTGTGGCTAACTGGAACAGCTGCTTTTTTGCTGCTGTGTGAAATTGCTGCTTATTTTCCCACTTCTCCGGTGACTACCCAGCATCCTTATTTTATGGGTGTTTCTTTAATTAGGGGTGTAATAATCATTAGATATTCTGGAAAAGGAGGGGATTTCAGGGACTCCTGGTTACTGACCACTTTCTCCCTTATTTGGGTTTGCCCAGAAGAGTCATGGACATATCACCCTGATGGGGGTTTTAGTCATGTTCTCTCCCTTATTTTGGGTTTTCTGTTATCCTGTAGTTTCTTTGCCTAGTTCTTGTTTTGGCAGCTGTTTGGGTTTTTCCATCCTTCTGCGACCACCTAGATCTATTCCTATTTTAATATGAGCCAAATAAATATTTTGGTTATTCTCTTAAGAGCCATAGAAAACTATTTAACGATTTGAAACAGCTTTAAACACATGTGTGTGTGTATATATATATATTTTAAAGATCACTCTGGCTACCTAATGTGTATAAAGACAATAACCACAAAGTAATAGAAATCAGTTTTAAGACAAAATCAGCCAATCTCTTCCCAAACACTGTAACTGAATCTAAGGTTCTTATTTGCTAACTCTCAGCTACTATTTCTCTATGTGTAAAATGAGGATCTCTAAAAAATTTTCAGTTCTAGCAGTCAGCTTTTTTCTTTTTCTACTTCAATTTAGCAATATTATGATTCAAAATAATGAGTTCCTCATTACATGCATAAACTTATATAAAATTAAATATTAATTTTGAGCTCCGCCCTTCACAGCCCTTAGCAATTGCAGGCACTAATTAAGGTAGAGCTTTATATTTTCTTTTTAGACCAGAGTTTTTGAATGATTTATATCAAGTATTTAGTCAATAATTCTCAGCTGTCATTAACAGTAATTAATTAATATTAAACAATACTAATTTAAGTAGCATTTTTCCACTAGATTTTAAGTTGAAGATAGGTGCTATGCTTGACTCCCGTATATCCTCAGCATTTAACAGTTCCTTATACTTAGAAATCACTCAGCAGGTAAGTTGAATAAATAAGTAAATGAATGAATGAATTGCTGTTCACTTGAATGAGGACAACCTATTTGGACCTCAGTCAAGTGGACAGAAATACATTTTTTTATTTGCTCAATCACTGTCACTACCGGGGAGAAGCTACACATCTCAGTTGACTCTCACCTTAGACTCAGCCTATTATTATTATTTTTTTTGACGGATAAAATTGTATATGTTTACTATGTATGTCATGAAGTTTTGAAGTATATATACACTGTAAAATGACAAAATCCAGCTAATTAACATATGTATTACCTCATATAGTTATTTTCATGCACGTCCGTGTGAAGAGACCACTAAACAGGCTTTGTGTGAGCAGCATAGCTGTTTATTTCACCTGGGTGCAGGCGGGCTGAGTCCAAAAAGAGAGTCAGCAAAGGGTGGTGGATTATCATTAGTTCTTAGAGGTTTTGGGATAGGTGGTGAAGTTAAGAGCAATGTTTTGCAGGCAGGGGTGGATCTCACAAAGTACATTCTCAAGGGTGGGGAGAATAACAAAGAACCTTCTTAAGGGTGGGGGAAATTATAAAGACCCTTCTTAAGGGTGGCAGAGATTACAAAGTACATTGATCAGTGAGGGTGGGGCAGAAACAAATCACAATGGTGGAATGTCATCAGTTAAGGTTATTTTTACTTCTTTTGTGGATCTTCAGTTACTTCAGGCCATCTGGATGTATACTTGCAAGTCACAGGGCATGCGATGGCTTGGCTTGGGCTCAGAGGCCTGACATTTCTGCCTTCTTATATTAATAAGAAAAATAAAACAAAATAATGTTGAAGTGTTGGGGCGGCGAAAATTTTTGGGGGGTGGTATGGAGAGAGAATGGGCGATGTTTCTCAGGGCTGCTTCAAGCGGGATTAGGGGCGGCGTGGGAACCTAGAGTGGGAGAGATTAAGCTGAAGGGAGATCTTGTGGTAAGGGGTGATATTGTGGGGATGTTAGAAGAAACATTTGTCATATGGAATGATTGGTGATGGCCTGGATACAGTTTTGTATGAATTGAAAAACTAAATGGAATAAGAGAAGGAGAAAAACAGGTATAAAAGGTCTAAGAATTGGGAGGACCGAGGACATCTAATTAGAGAGTGCCTAAGGAGGTTCAGCATAGTCCTGCCAGCAAAGATTATTTATTTACTTCAAGAGTTTAGAGTGGCAGTTTGGGGATAGCACCAGGAGATATCAGCTGTGATGGCTTGGAGAAACAGTGTAAACCGGCAGTGTAAACAAGAGCAGGGCATGTATGAGTAGTTGAGAACGGTGAATAGGAGTATGACTAGACAGAAGATAGGGATGACAAGTTTTTTTGGGACACAGTGTAAGTTGGTCTGGTGTCTGGAATGAGACTGGGGCCTAATAAAAAGGAGCGTCTACACAGGAGCTTAAATGGGCTGTACCTTGTAGCATTCTGAGGACAGGTCTGACTTCTGAGAAGCGAAAGTGGTAAAAGTATTGTCCAGTCCTTTTTAAGTTGGTGGCTGAGCTTGGCGAGGTGTGTTTTTAAAAGACCTTTAGTCCGTTCTACTTTTCTTGAAGAAGGAGGACCGTAAGGGATATAAAGGTTTCACTGAATACTAAGAGCCTGAAAAACTGCTTGGCTGATTTGACTAATAAAGGCTGGTCTGTTATCAGACTGTATAGAGGTGGGAAGGCTAAACTGAGGAATTATGTCTGACAGAAGGGAAGAAATGACTGCGGTGGTCTTCTCAGACCCTGTAGGAAAAGCCTTTACTTACTCAGTGAAAGTGTCTATTTAGACTAAGAGGTATTTTAGTTCCCTGACTCGGGGCTTGTTGAGTAAAGCTAATTTGCCAGTCCTGGGTGGGGGCAAATCCTCGAGCTTGATGTGTAGGGAAGGGAGGGGGGCCTGAATAATCCCTGAGGAGTAGTAGAACAGCAGATGGAACACTGAGAAGTTATTTCCTTGAGGATAGAGTTCCAAGATGGAAAGGAAATGAGAGGTTCTGAGAGGTGGGCTGGTGGCTTGTACTATAGCATAGCCTGCCTTTGCTGGTGTGTGGTGATTAGGCCTGGTGGAACTGCCATCAATAAATCAAGCGTGATCAGGGTGAGGAACAGGAAAGAAGGAAATATGGGGAAATGGGGTGAATATCAGGTGGATCAGAGAGATACAGTCATGGGGGTCAGGTGTATCAGGAATAATGTGCAAGGCCAGATTGAAGTCCGGGCCAGGAACAATGGTAATTGTGGGACTTAACAAAGAGTGAGTACAGCTGAAGGAGCTGGGGAGCAGAAAGTATATGCATCAGGTATGAGGAAGAAAATAGATTTTGGAAGTTATGAGAAATGTAGAGAGTGAGTTGAGCGTAGTTTGTGATTTTTAGGGCCTCTAAAAGTATTAAAGCAGCGGCAGCGGCTGCACGCAGACATGAGGGCTAGGCTAAAAGAGTATGATCAAGTTGTTTGGACAGAAAGGCTACAGGGTGTGGTCCTGGCTCTTGTGTAAGAATTCTGACCACCCTAAGCATGCCTAGGAAGGAAAGGAGTTGTTGTTTTGTAAGGGATTGAGGTTTGGGAGATTAATCAGACATGATCAGCAGGGAGAGCACGTGTGTTTGTATGAGAATAATGCCGAGATAGGTAACAGATGAGGATGAAATTTGGGCTTGACTGAAGTAATGGGGGCTGTCTGTGAAGCCTTGCGGCAGTACAGCCCGGGTAATTTGCTGAGCCTAATGGGTGTCAGGGTCAGTCCAAGTGAAAGCGAAGAGAGTCTGGGATGACGGGTGCAAAGGAATAGTAAAGAAAGCATGTTTGAGATCTAGAACAGAATAAAGGGTTGTGGAGGGAGGTATTGAGGATAGGAGAGTATATGGGTTTGGCACCATGGGGTGGATAGGCAAAACAATTTGGTTGATAAGGCATAGATCCTGAACTAACTTGTAAGGCTTGTCTGGTTTTAGGACAGGTAAAATGGGGGAACTCTGAGAGTTTATAGGCTTTAAAAGGCCATGCTGTAGCAGGCGAGTGATAACAGGCTTTAATCCTTTCAAAGTATGCTGTGGGATGGGATATTGGCATTGAGCGGGGTAAGGGTGATTAGGTTTTAATGAGATGGTAAGGGGTGCATGATCGGTCGCCAAGGAGGGAGTAGAGGTATCTTATACTTGTGGGTTAAGGTCGGGGGATAGAAGAGGAGGACACAAAGGAGGCTTTGGATTGGAAAGAAGGGCGGCAATGAGATGTAGCTGTAATCCAGGAATGGTCAGGGAAGCAGATAATTTAGTTAAAGTGTCTCGGCCTAATAAGGGAACTGGGCAGGTGGGGATAACTAAAAAGGAGTGCTTAAAAGAGTATTTTCTAAGTTGGCACCAGAGTTGGGGAGTTTTAAGAGGTTTAGAAGCCTGGCTGTCAATACCTACCACAGTTATGGAGGCAAGGGAAACAGGCCCTTGAAAAGAAGGTAATGTGGAGTTGGTAGCTTCCGTATTGATTAAGAAGGGGACGGACTTGCCCTCCACTGTGAGAGTTACCCAAAGCTCTGCATCTGTGATGGTCTACGGGGCTTCTGAGGCAATCGGGCAGCGTCAGTCTTCAGCCGCTAAGCCAAGGAGTCAGTCAGAGAGCCTTGGGCCAGAGTTCCACGGGCTCTGGGAGTGGCTGCCAGGTGAGTTGAACAGTCTGATTTCCAGTGGGGTCCCACACAGATGGGACATGGCTTAGGAGGAATCCTGGGCTGCAGGCATTCCTTGGCCTGGTGGTCAGATTTCTGGCACTTGTAGCAAGCTCTTGGGGGAGGAGGTTCTGGAGGAACGCCAGGTCAGTGCGGTTCAGGCGTTTGGAAGTTCTTGTGTGCTGGAGATGTGGCTGGGGTTTGTCTCACAGTGGAGGCAAGGAATTGCAACTTTTTTCTATTATTGTACACCTTGAAGGCAAGGTTAATTAAGTCCTGTTGTGGGGTTTGAGGGCCAGAATTTAATTTTTGGAGTTTTATTTAATGTCGGGGGCAGATTGGCTAATAAAATGTATTTTGAGAATAAGACGGCCTTTTGACCTTTTAGGGTCTAGGGCTGTAAAGCGTCTCAGGGTTGCTGCCAAACAAGTCATGAACTGGGCTGGATTTTTATATTTTATGAAAAAGAGCCTAAATGCTATCTGATTTGGGATAAAGAAAAAGGAGCATTAACCTTGACTATGCCTTTAGCTCCAGCCATCTTTTTAAGAGTAAATTGCTGGGCAGGTGGGGGAGGGCTAGTCACGGAACGAAACTGTAAGCGGGACCAGGTGTGAGGAGGGGAGGCGATAAAAAGATAATAGGGTGGAGGAGCCCAGGCTGAGGAAGAATTGAGACCTAGCTCAGCCTGGCGAGGAGGGGAGAGGTCAGATGGGTCTGTAGAAAAGGAAGATTAGAAAGACTCAGGGACACTTGAGGTTGGGACTGGGGGGACAGGAGGGAGGGAAAGAAGGAAGATTTGGGATGAGTTGCAGTGGGCACAGAGACTAGGAAGGGATTGATGTGTAAAAGAATGCCTGGACGTCAGGCACCTCAGATCATTTGCCCATTTTATGACAAGAATTATTTAGATCTTGTAGGATGGAAAAATTGAAAGTGCCGTTTTCCAGCTATTTGGAAGTACTGTTGAGTTTGTATTGGGGTCAAGCGGCATTGCAGAAAAAAATAAGACGATTAGATTTTAGGTCAGGTGAGAGTTGAAAAGGTTTTAAGTTCTTAAGAACACAGGCTAAGGGAGAAGAAGGAGGAATGGAAGGTGGAAGCTTGCCCATAGTGAAGGAGGCAAGCCCAGAGAAAAGAGTAGAGACACGGAGAAGGGGTGGGGGGTTCTTGCCCTCCATAAAAGCAGAGAAGGGGTTGGGGCACGGGAATAAGGGATTGGGGGTTCTTGCCCCCTAGAAAAGTGGGACTTGCTGCTAAGGGTGAAGGAGAAGGGGTTGTGAGGGGTTCTTGCCCCTGCCCCAGAAGAGCAGAGAAGGGGTAGAGACACGGAAAGAAGGGGTTGGGGTACCTGCCCCTCCCTCAGAAAAGTGGGACTTGCCGCTAAGGGTGAAGGACCAAGGCAGGCATCCCTGTGTGGTCTGACACGTCTGAAACGTGGGTGAATAATCAGAGAGGTGCCCCTGCAATGATTAAACACCTAGGGAAGGCTGCCTTCCCAGTCCGTGACCGGCGCCAGAGTTTTGGGTCCACGGATAAAACGTGTCTCCTTTTTCTCTACTAGAAAATGAAAGGAATTGAAATTAAGAGAAGGGAGAGATTGAAGTGTAGTGCCAAGATTGAAAGGAGAAAGAGGTTGAGAAATAGTGAGGGAGGTTGGAGAAGAGAGTAAAAAGAGGCTGCTTACCAGATTTGAAACTGGTGAGATGTTTCTTGGGCTGGTCAGTCTGAGGACCTGAGGTCATACATAGGTGGATCTTTCTCACGGAGCAAAGAGCAGGAGGACGGGGGATTGATCTCCCAAGTGGGGGGTCCCCTGATCCGAGTCATGGCACCAAATTTCATGCGTGTCCGTGTAAAGAGACCACCAAACAGGCTTTGTGTGAGCAACATGGCTGTTTATTTCACCTGGGTGCAGGCGGGCTGAGTCCGAAAAGAGAGTCAGCAAAGGGTGGTGGATTATCATTAGTTCTTAGAGGTTTTGGGATAGGTGGTGAAGTTAAGAGCAATGTTTTGCAGGCAGGGGTGGATCTCACAAAGTACATTCTCAAGGGTGGGGAGAATAACAAAGAACCTTCTTAAGGGTGGGGAAAATTATAAAGAAGCTTCTTAAGGGTGGCAGAGATTACAAAGTACATTGATCAGTGAGGGTGGGGCAGAAACAAATCACAATGGTGGAGTGTCATCAGTTAAGGTTATTTTTACTTCTTTTGTGGATCTTCAGTTACTTCAGGCCATCTGGATGTATACGTGCAAGTCACAGGGGATGTGATGGCTTGGCTTGGGATCAGAGACCTGACAGTTATCATCCTTGTGGTGAGAACACTTTACAACTACTTTCTTAACATTTATATTAACTATAGTCACTATGTTGTATAATAATTTTCCTGATTGTGTTTCTTCTATATAACTGAAGCCTTGTATTCTTTGATTCTGCCTATTTCTTTCTGTCTTCTTTACCCATGTGCTTGTGTTAAAATGCCCTTCCTCCCAAAAATGCACAGATGATCAGAACTCAGGTCAGTTGCAATCTAAAAACTCACATCAGTTGTAATCTACAAACTACGGGCTACTGGGCCATCTTATAAAGTAGAATGCTCATGTTTTGCAACTGTGTGTCTGCTTTTTAAACTGGATTAGTATGCCAGGTAAAAATATAAACCTAAGGATATATGTTTGATTCCATATTAATAAATAATTTTTTCATATGATGTTTCAACATATAGGGATATTTTTTAAAGTTGTATATGATTTGATACATGTTTTATATTTGCACAGTATTAACTCTAATGTAAAAGTAGAATTTACGTTATTTATTTTATGATTAAATTTCCAAAGTCCTTAGACCATCACTTTCTTGCAGATGTTTCCCAGATCTCTGTCTAGTTCTACACTGTAGTCCAATATACTAATTTTCAGCTGGCTGTTTCTGCTTGACTTCTGCTCTTGGGCCATGGCAGTTCTCCTGGGTATAGGTGTATGCTTACCTTACCGACTGGTACAAGTTAAAAAGAATTCAAATATTTTTCTATTACTTTATCTTTCCCAAAGCACATTCTATTTGATCCTCACAAAAATTCTGTGAGCTAACTTATTCCTACTTAGAGGAGGAAATTAACATGAGGAAAATAAAACTTAGGTGGCTTCTTTGAGGTTACATAGATAATCCAATGACTGACGTCCTTATAAGAAGGCTGTGCAAAAACACAGTCACACACAGCAGGAAAACAGCTAGTTGAAGGTGGAAGCAGAGACTGAAATGATGCAGCTACAAACCAAGGAAACCAAAGGATTGCTGGCAATCACCAGCGGCTAGGAAGAGGCAAGAAAGGATTCTTCCCTGGAACTTTCAGAGAAAACATACCGTGTTAAAATCTTAATTTCAGACTCCTTGCTTCTAGAATTATGAAAGAATAAATTTCTATTGTTGTAAGCCACCCAATTTAAGCTAATTTGTTATGTCAGCCCTTTGAAACGAATACAGGCGATTTCTTCTTTCACTTCACAAAAGTATTACATATTCAAAAGAAAGCATCACAACCATACTGAGATGCATACACTGAACAGTAAACTAGGCTCATTCACTATCAGAAGGACGTGATTCAAAACGTTAGGTTCAAAACAAATCTGAATTCATGACTTAAACGTAGGATAACCTTTCACACATCCTAAATATAATTAATTTCTATAGCATGGATGTTAAATCCATAGACCCATTATTTTTCAAAGAATTATAAGCCTTATTATAACTCAATAATCTGTGTGACTTCCATGATTACAGAGAACTGAATCTTTGGTTTCTCAGTGTAGCTTTAGCTCTGAAAATTCTCTAATTATATTATATTATAAAACTAATAATTTTACTACCAATGGGGTATCAGTATCTCTAAGAAAATAAATCAGTCATAATCATGATCATTACTCATATGCTGAATGACAGCATATTTTAATTGTTCTTTTGATAACAAATTATCAGAGTTCACAATAAATGTTTCCCCTTTCAGATAGTCTAATTTTTTTTAAAAACGGTCAAGGCATGATCAATTATTTACTTCATATTTAATTTAGGTTCATGATCTTTAAGGATCATGAACTTTAAATTTAATAATTTTTATTTCAAGTCACATAAATTAAAAATTAAAACGTATTTAAATAGTCATTAAAGAGGTCTCTGAATATAGTCTCATTATTTATATATTTTTTAAAAATAAGGAATACCTTTTTCAAAAATTCTTGAGGATAAATGACCATTAAATTAATTATGTGGTAAAAATTTACTTCTGTTTTTGTAAAAGTTAAAACTGAAGGTCATTATCTCAACAGAACTTTATTACTTTCTTCTAGAAGGAAACAAATGGGCCTACTGAGGACTGACAAGGGCACCATACAAAGTCAAGGGCATTAGAATTGCCAAAGAGTGAAATAATTCTTTCAAAGTATGCATGGGAGACATTAATGTTGCAAAATAACCATAGAAGGAGTTGATTATTTTACAAGTAACTGAGGGTGAGAACCACCTCTGTGATAAAGGAGAAATATGAAGCATATGCATACATACAGGATTTGGGAGGATTTAATCTTGGGATAACAAAACAAAAGAAGAGTGCCTTATCTTCTAACACTATTTTTATTTAAATGAAATCATTACATTCTGGCCAAAAAGTGTTTATGCAAATATTTTGAAAAGAAGAAAGAGAAGTGGTTAATCATGAAATAATACCAATAAAGTAAAAGTAACATAAAAAAATCATTACTATGAAGAAAATTAGATGACACTCAGAAAACATGCCGAGAGAAAACATAAAAGTTAAATATTAGGTTTAAATCATGAGGATAATTAAGTAAATACTGGACTAATGATCAACAAGAGAAGACTACTCTGAAAACAGCCACATGATATTACACTTGTTCCCTTTTTTATTGGATTTGAAAAGCAGTGTGTACTGTTGTGAACATTTCACGCCTGAATTTTCTCAAAGTTGTTGGCAAATACAGTCATGTGTCACTTAATGACAGGTATAAGTTTTATGAAATGCATTTTAGGTGATTTTGATATTGTGCAAACATCATAAAGAGTGCTTGTACAAACCTAGCTATACCATATAGTCTACTACACCCTAGGCTATATGGTATAGCTGTTGTAATCTTATGGAACCACTGTTGTATATGTGGTTCATCATTGACAGAATCATTGTTAAGAAGCATATGACTGTACTTAGGAATAGGTGGAGACTCATAACCTAAATGCTAATATATTACAGAAATCAGTTTTTACTTAACCCGGCCCTAGGGTTCTAATAAAAACAGATAACCTCTACCCTGTTACATTAGCCTTATATTTTTAATGTTTTTTCAAAGTTTTGAATAGCTATATAAAATATATAATTATTAAAATTCAGAAATTCAGATGTCTCAAATATAGAAAAGACCAAGTGTGGAACCAAAGGAAATTTCTTATGACTGTGTCCTAAAAAAGAAAAATCACTAGCCATTTTGGGTCAGAGATTTCTGTGAGCCATTTAAATTGATAGATTTATGTGAGTCACCAAAGAGCAAATGGATTTTTGGACTGCATAATCAAAAGACTATATCTAAAAACGTATATATAATTGCCTCCACTTACCATTGAATACACCACTTTTATATTTCAATACTGAAGAGATGGTCTTACTGTTCTCCTCAGCTTAAATAAACATTACATAGGTTTTCTCCTGACTAAAGGTCTATGGCCTCTCTTTTCTTGGAGCATTTACTTCAAAAAACTTGTATTTGTAAATTTGTTCTTTGCCCCTTTGAGACATAAATCTTTTCATAACCTCTGGACAGTTTTACAACCCAGTAATGTCCTTCTTAAGGATCTGGGAGCCATCCCTTTGAAAGATAATCATCAAGGAAGATACTGCCACTAACTCCCAGTCTTTGGGGTAGCATAGTAGCCTAACTTTGATAAATGCCAATTAGCAAATTCAAATGGACTAATCACATTGACCAACCTCCTACCTAACATCCTATTTTTATACCAGTTCACCTCAGTTCTTAAAGATTCTCCCACCTTTTGTTTAAAGCAGTATTGAGTTCAATCTCTGTCTCCCTTTGAAATAGTCTTGAATAAAGACTTCTTACCTGTTTAACTTGTCTTATGCAAGTTTTCCTTGACAAAAGCTCTAGGAACTACATATCAAAAAATCTATGAACAAACTTTTAAAGATTCAGAAGACAAACAAAAACGTAATGAAAAAGCTAAAACTAAAGTAACATTGAAGAGAATGAGTGTCTCTTCCTAGCTTGTGATAGCCATTTAGTATTGGCTTAACTTGAGGAAGTGCAATCTCATCAGATCAATTCTGACTTGTTTCTAAACATTTATCACCCTCTGGATGCTGAGAGTATAATTTAGAACTGTTATCTTTAACAGCCTTCACACTATCTAGAATAATCATTGGAAACCAATGTGTCCCAAGAGAGGCCTTCATTCTTAATCCACTTATTAAAAAAAAAAAAAAAACAGAAACAAAACAAAATGAAAAACTAAAACAGGAGGCGTTTTTCTTGCTTTTTAGTTTTGTGCTCCAATTGGGAATAATGCTCTGCCTTCAAACTAACTCTGTGTCCTGCCACTCCCTTCCCACACAGGAAGTAAATGTACTCCTTTAGACACCCCACATTCTTCTGAAAATCTACTTATTTCTGACTATTTAGAACCAAAATGTTGTAGGCATGCCTAACGTTCAGTATTATCTGGGGGCTTAATCTTTTATTCTTGGCATATAATCTAATCACTCCCCAGATTACATTATGTTCCAGAAACTGGTAACTTTGTTACTCATTCATCAAAACAAAGTTCCTTTTTCTGTGTTAGGCAACATATTTCAACCTCCATTGCAGTTTGATGTAGTCTTGTGACTAGCTCCTGCCAATGAAATACAAATGAAATGATGTGTACCACCTCTAGGCCAAGGTTTTTAGAACTTGAGTGGTCTTTGTATATCAAGAGATCATAGTTGTGGGTGAGGCCAATAAATTGTTTCTTCATTCAAAGGTCTTTGCACCATGAAGAACCACAGCTGATCTCAATAGAGAAGACTGTATGACCCTGATATGCTGGGGTTTGAACTGAATGGTGTAAAAGGAGAAATTGGATTGTGTCTCTTGTAAAAGGGATATAAGTGTGTTGTATATGCAAGGATGTAACAAGGATCCAATGCAAATGAATCCAAATGGATAATTTCTGAGTAGGAAGTCTTATGGCTAACTGTTCGCTGAAAATATTTCTCTCTTCTCTTAGGCATAGAGCTATGCTATTATTGCAGCTTCTCTTGTAGTTCACTGTGGCCATGCAGTTTATTCTCACCAATGGAAAGTAAATTAGAGTGATGTGCATTATTTCAAGACCAAAGCTTTTATGGCATTTAAGTTCCCCTTCAATGCTCTTTTACCCTTTTGACTGGCTTAGATGGAGAATACAAGACAAAACTGGAAGACTTTATTGAAGATGGCAGTCTCCTTCAGCATGTATCCCTAAAGACTACATGAAAGAGAGATGACTCACTAATCTATTTACCTTCCCAGGAATATTATGAGGGAAATGAACTACTGTTTTCTAAACCTTTATGTGTTTTGGGTCTCTGCTATAGCAATTAGTGTTACTCCAGTGGTTCTCAACAGGGAGCAATTTTGTCCCCCAAAGGGTATTTCACAATATCTGGGGAAATGTTTGGTTGTCACAGCTTGGAGGTGAGGGCTGCTGGCATTTTGTGGGTAGAAGTCAGGGATGCTATACATCCTACAAGGAATAGGAAACTCCTCCCTCATTAAAGAATTCTTCCACCCAACACGTCAATAAAGCTAAAATCTTTCTTAACTAATAACAATCATTGTTTCATAAATTGATGTTATGCTGCATCTGGGGCAAACGTGCTATGTCCCTTTGGAGAAATTTCTTAGACAACTCATCTTACAACAAGATGTCTTATTATGGATATTTGTGTACTTCTGAACATTGTTCAAATTGTGGCACATCAATAATATCTAAATGCCGTAAGGGATGGCATCCATACAATGTCATTTAAAAGGCAAGTGAGTATACTTGAACAATGGAGAAGGTTCACTGTCATTAGAAAAACAGTAGGAAGTTAATATTCTATTGTCCTCAGTTAAATCTCTGAAGGATCTAATCTAATTTAACAGACTAAATATACACTCATGGCTTTGTAAAGCCAATATGAAATAATTTCTTTGAAAGGTAACAGCAGTTTTTTAAGGTAGAGATTGACAAGGATTATCAGTGCAACGATGTAAAAGATATGAGGAAAAAGGAGAGAGAAAGCATGAGGTTGATGGAGCTGTGTAATGCAGTGATTAAAAATGGAAAGATCTAGTTCAAAATATGGGGGGTGGTGTAGTTAGTGGAAAAAAATGAGTTGGGCATTTTTAGGTTCTGTCTGATTCAGATTCATGTAAGTAATAACAGTTGTCAGCCGCTAAAGATACTCAATTTCATTTGGAAACTGACCGCAGAACAAATGATGTACAAAAGTTTAACAGGCATATATGTTGACACTGTGGTGGGAAGGGGAGGATTTTTTTTGCCTATACTGTGACGGAATTAAGGTCCCGTCAGACCTTGAGCAATGCCCCTTCTGAAACAGGAATTCACTGGATTACTGTGACTTGTCCCGACTTCCTTGCAAGGTAGAGAATAGAAAAGAGGCACAGTCTTTTGGGTTTTCACTATTCTTTTTTCCCTTGTGAACTAAGATGTGTTCCTTGTGTTGAGAAGGATCTAGTAAAGTCATAATCCATTTAAATTTATTTCAATTATAAGATGTGTGAAGTTATACATTTATTATAAATAGCAATACAAACTTTCCTCCAAAGAGGAAAAAAACAATATCATTAGGGAATTTGGTGAGCTATAAAAAATCAAATTATAACAATTATTTTTATTATTTTAATTACTTTGTAATTATAGAAAACATTAAAATAAAGTGAAATTTTCAAGCCACTGAAGACTTTTTAAAAATGTGTATATTATACAATCAAGATTTCAACACCTGTTTGATTTCTGATGAAAACACAGCCTTACTAATTTAAATGGCCTATCCTCACTTAGTTTTAAAGCTATGATGGCTTTAAATAAGTTTTAAAACTGACTTATAGTTTTAAAACTTAGTGAGGGTAGGCCAATTAAAACTATAATGGCTTTCAGCCACTAGAAAACTATAATAGCTTTCAGCCACTAGAAATTTTAGCCACACATTAATTATTTTACATAACCCAATTAAATGAACTGAAATACTTAAAGTACTTTCAGAAGAATGCGTGAGGATATATGTGTTTAAAGGCAAGTACTATAGAGAGAGTCTATTGCAGAAAGATGTGAGTATATGTAATCAATGATATATGTCTACAATAATGGAAATATTAGCTAATCATTTTGATGTTTTGTCAGATGATACCAAAAATAAATACTTCTCAACATGTGCATGCTATGAAAAGCAACTGGCTGAATAACTTTCTAAATTTTTCAGTGTCAAATGAAATATTTTATATCCTTTAATGACATGTAGGTAAAATGATACATGCTACTTCTAGGCCAAGGCATGAATGTATGGATGTGTGTGTTTAGGGCAGCAGCTGATTTGTGTTCTAATCACTAGCATATGAGGAATCACATGTAAACCTGGTAGACTGGTCTTGAATCACCCTGAAATCCTGGAGTTTGCCTTTGGATTGTTTCTTTTGGGGAGGAGGGTGAGTGATCATTCTGTAAGAAGAAGGCTATAAAAATAAATGGAGTCACAAGAGCAGACGGTTCCTGTTCCCCAGCCTCCCTTACTGTGGTGCGTGGTGGCCATGTAACTTGTCCTCACTGAAAGAGTCTGACTTGAAGACATGTTTACACTCAAGGCCAAGCTCCTAAGAGATTCATGAATATACTTCCACCAGATCATGTTGCCTTCTTCAGTTTTCTTTGGAATTTGAATACTAGATTTTTATTTATGGCTTTATTGGATGGCGCAGTAATGGAAAGGAAATAATATCACTCTTCTTCCTGCTTCTCAGAAGTTCAACTAACTTCTCAAGAAGAAGCTGGCTTAGAAGAAAATATAATAAGTGAATAGGCATTGAGTATTTTTGGAGAGCAATGAGAAATTGATCTGATTAAATACAAAAGGTTTCTTATAAATACAAACTCTAGATACAAAATAAAACATTAATTTAAAAAAGACATTTATAATGGCAAAAAGATTAATCATGAAGTGAAGTATTTGTCATTTTTCCTCAGGCAGTTTCTGTCTTGACACATACCATAGTGATAAAATGTTACACGAGGTGGAAGAAAAGCTGCATGATTTATCCTAACCTATTTTATTTATAGTCTGATTACATATGTATCTTTAATAACTCATAAAGGCTAGAGCATTTTAGAGGACGAAAAATTGTTTGGGAGTAGCACAAACTTAATGCATCTTGATAATTATAGAGGAGGTTTTGCAGAAATACTTATTCAAACATTCATTTAAATATATCCTGTGCACCACACAGACTTGCACTCTAATCTCCAGTGGAGAGCGGATCATCATTTTTAACATCATATCATTCAATTCAAACAACTTTTCTGAAAATATTTTAGAGGAGTTCATTTTTATTCTTTTTATGTTGCATGCATTATATTCTCAGCCAACAAGAGTTGGTTGAGCAGTCTTGGAATGCACAGTTTAAGAATGTCTTTAAAAATATAAAAATCAGGTAGCTGGCTGAATAGGAACAGCTCTGGTCTGTAGCTCCCAGTGAGATCAATGCAGAAGGCGGGTGATTTCTGCATTTCCAATTGAGGTGCCCAGCTCACCTCATTGGGACTGGTTAGACAGTGGGTGCAGCCCACAGATGGAGAGCAGAAGCTGGGTGGGGTGTTGCCTCACCTGGGAAGCACAAGGCGTCAGGGAACTCCTTTCCCTAGCCAAGAGAAGCCATGAGGCACTGTGCCGTGAGGAATGGTGCATTGTGGGCAACATACTATGCTTTTCCCATGGTCTTTGCAATCCACAGACCAGGAGATTCCCTCGGGTGCCTACACCACCAGGATCCTGGGTTTAAAGCACAAAACTGGGTGGCTATTTGAGCAGACACCAAGCTAGCTGCAAGAGTTTTTTTTTCATACCCCATGTGCGCCTGGAATGCCAGCAAGACAGAACCGTTCACTGCCCTGGAAAGGGGGCTGACACCAGGGGCCAAATGGTCTATCAGCAGATCCCACCCCACCCCCCCTCCAACGGAACCGCAGCAAGCTTAGATCCACTGGCTTGAAATTCTCACTGCCAGCACAGCACCTGGGATGCTTCGTGCGGGGAGGGGTGTTCATCATTACTGAGGCTTAAGTAGGTGGTTTTCCCCTCACATTGTAAATAAAGCTGCAGGGAAGTTCAAACTGGGCAGAGCCCACCACAGCTCTGCAAAGTTCCCGTAGCCAGCCTTCCTCTCTAGATTCTTCCTCCCTGGGGAGGGCATCTCTGAAAGAAAGGCAGCAGCCCCAGTTAGGGACTTATAAATAAAACTCCCATCTCCCTGGGGAGTTTTATTTATAACACTGAGCACCTGGGGGAAGGGACGGCTCAGTGGGCACAGCTACAGCAGACTTAAACATTCCTGCCTGCCAGCTCTGAAGAGAGCAGCAGATTTCCCAGCACAGTGCTCAAGCTCTGCTAAGGGACAGACTGCCTCCTCAAGTGGGTCCCTGACCCCCGTGCCTCCTGACTGGGAGACATCTCCCAGCAGGGGTCGACAAACACCTTATACAGGAGAGCTCTGGCTGGCATCTGGCAGGTGCCCCTCTGGGATAAAGCTTCCAGAGGAAGGAACAGGCAGCAATCATTGCTGTTCTGCAGCCTCCGCTGGTGAGATACTCAGGCAAACAGGGTCTGAAGTGGACCTCCAACAAACTCCAGCCGACCTGCACCAGAGGGGACTGACTGTTAGAAGGAAAACTAACAAATAGGAATAGCATCAACATCAACAAAAGAGATGTCCACACAAAAACCTCATCCGAAGATCACCAACATCAGAGATCAAAGGTAGATAAATCCATGAAGATGAGGGAAAAAAAAAAACAAAAAAACAGCACAAAAAGGCTGAAAATTGCAAAAACCAGAATGCCTCTTCTCCTCCAAAGGATCACAACTCCTCTCCAGCAAGGAAACAAAACTGGACAGAGAATGAGTTTGACAAATTGACAGTAGTAGGCTTCAGAAGGTGGGTAATAACAATCTTCTCTGAGCTAAAGGAGCATGTTCTAACCCAATTCAGAAAAGCTAAGAACCTTGAAAAAAGGTTAGAGGAAATACTAACTAGAATAACCAGTTTAGAGAAGAACATAAGTGACCTGATGGAGCTGAAAAACACAGCACGAGAACTTCGTGAAGCATACACAAGTATGAATAGCTGAAATGATCAAGTGGAAGAAAGGATATCAGAGATCGAAGATCAACCTAATGAAATAAAGCGTGAAGACAAGATAAGAGAAAAAAGAATGAAAAGGAACAAAAAAAGCCTCCAAGAAATATGGGACTTGAAAAGACCAAACCTATGTTTAATTCGTGTACCTGAAAGTGATGGGGAGAATGGAACCAAGTTGGAAAACACTCTTCAGTAGATTATCCAGGAGAACTTCTGCCAACCTAGCAAGACAGGCCAACATTCAAATTCAGGAAATACAGAGAACACCACAAAGATACTCCTCAAACAACATGAAAAGAATAAACTGTACCAGTCACTGCAAAAATATACTAAATTGTAAAGACCATAGACACTATGAAGAAACTGCATCAACTAATGGGTAAAATAACCAGCTAGCATCATAATGACAGAATCAAATTCACACATATCAATATTAACCTTAAATGTAAACGTGCTAAATGCTCAAATTAAAAGACACAGACTGGCACATTGGATAAAGAGTCAAGACACAACGGTTTGCTGTATTCAGGATACCCATCCCACATGCAAAGACACACATAGGCTCAAATTAAAAGGATGGAGGAATATTTACCAAGCAAATGGAAAGCAAAACAAGAGAAGGAGTTGCAATCCTAGTCTCTGATAAAACAGACTTTAAACCAACAAAGATCTAAAAAGACAAACAAGGGCATTAGATAATAGTAAAGGGATCAATGCAACAAAAAGAGCTAACTGTCCTAAATATATATGCACCCAATACAGGAGCACCCAGATTCATAAAGCAAGTTCTTAGAGACCTACAGAGACTTAGACTCTCACACAATAATAGTGGGAAACTTTAACACCCCAATGTCAATATTAGATGCATCAACGAGACAGAAAATGAACAAGGATATTCAGGGCTTGACCTCAGCTCTGGACCAAGTGGACCTAATAAACATCTACAAAACTCTCCACTCCAAATCAACAGAATATACATTCTTCTCAGCACCACATCACACTTATTCTAAAATTGACCACATAAATAGAAGTAAAATACTCCTCAGCAAATGAAAAGGAATAGAAATCAAAACAAACAATCTCTCAGACCACAGTACAATCAAATTAGAGCTCAGGATTAAGAAACTCGCTCAAAACCACACAACTACATGGAAACTGAACAACTCACTCCTGAATGACAACTGGGTAAATAATGAAATTAAGGCAGAAATAAGTAAGTTCTTTGAAACCAATGAGAACAAAGACACAACGTACCAGAATCTCTGGGACACAGCTAAAGCAGTGTTTAGAAGGAAATTTATAGCACTAAATGCCCACGGGAGAAAGCAGGAAAGATCTAAAATTGACACCCTAACATCACAATTTAAAAGAACTAGAGAAGCAAGAGCAAACAAATTCAAAACCTACCAGAAGACAATAAATAACTAAGATCAAAGCAGAAATGAAGGATATAGAGACACGAAAAGTCCTTCGAAAAATCAATGAATCCAGGAGGTGGTTTTTTGAAAAGACTAACAAAATTAATAGAATGCTAGCCAGACTATAAAAAAAGAAAAGAGAGAAGAATCAAATAGACACTAGAAAGCCAGGTGCGTTGGCTCAACCCTGTAATCCCAGCACTCTGGGAGGCTGAGGCAGGCATATCACCTGAGGTCAAGAGTTTGAGACCAGCCTGGCCAATAAGGTGAAACCTTGTCTCTACTAAAACTACAAAAAAAATTAGCTGAGTGTGGTGGTATATGCTTGTAATCCCAGCTTCTCAGGGAGGCTGAGGCAGGAGAATTGCTTGAACCTAGGAGGCAGAGGTTGCAGTGAGCCAAGATCGCACCACTGCACTCCAGCCTGGCTGAAAGAGGGAGACTCCATCTCAAAAAGAAAAGAGAGAAACAAACAAACAAACATATAGACACAATAAAAAATGATAAAGGGGATATCACCACTGATCCCACAGAAATACAAACTACCATCAGATAATACTGTACACACCTCTACACAAGTAAGCCAGAAAATTTAGAAGAAATGGATCAATTCCAGAACACATACACCCTCCCAAGACAAAACCAGGAAGAAATTGAATCCCTGAATAGACCAATAACAAGTTCTGAAATTGAGGCAGTAATTAACAGCCTATGAACCAAAAAAAGTCCAGGACCAGATGGATTCACAGCTGAATTCTACCAGAGGTACAAAGAGGAGCTGGTACCATTCCTTCTGAAACTATTCCAAACAATAGAAAAAGAGGGACTTCCCACTAACTCATTTTATGAGGCCAGCATCATCCTGATACCAAAACCTGGCAGAGACACAACAAGAAAAGAAAATTTCAGGCTAATATCCATGATGGACATCAATGTGAAAATCCTCAATAAAATACTGGCAAACCAAATCCAGCAGCATATCAAAAAGCATATCCACCACAATCAAGTTGGCTTCATCCCTGGGATGCAAGGCTGGTTCAACATACACAAATCAATAAACATAATCCATCACATAGACAGAACCAATGATAAAAGCCACATGATTATCTCAGTAGATGTAGAGATAGGCCTTTGATAAAATTCAGCACTCTGTTTATGCTAAAAACTCTCAATAAACTAGGTATTGATGAAACGTATCTCAAAATAATAAGAGCTATTTATGACAAACCCACAGCCAACGTCATACTGAATGGGCAAAGGCTGGAAGCATTCCCTTGTAAAATTGGCACAAGACAAGGATGCCCTTTCTCACCACTCCTATTCCACATAGTATTGGGAGTTCTGGCCAGGGCAATCAGGCAAGAGAAAGAAATAATGGCTATTCAAATAGGAAGAGAGAAAATAAAATTGTCTCTGTTTGCAGAACACATGTTTGTATATTTAGAAAACCCCATTATCTCAGACCAAAATCTCCTTAAGCTGATAAGCAACTTCAGCAATGCCTCAGGATACAAAATCAATCTGCAAAAATCACAAGCATTCCTATACACCAATAATAGAGAAACAGAGAGCCAAATCATGAGTGAACTCCCGTTTGCAATTGCTACTAAGAGAATAAAATACCTAGAAATACAACTTCAAAGGATATGAAGGATCTCTTCAAGGAGAACTACAAACACTGCTCAAGGAAATATGAGAGGACACAAACAAATGGAAAAACATTCCATGCTCATGGATGGGAAGACTCAATATCATGAAAATGGCCATACTGCCCAAAGTAATTTATAGATTCAATACTATCCCCATCAAGCTACCGCTGACTATCTTCACAGAATTGGAAAAAAACTACTTTAAAGTTCATATGGAACCAAAAAAGAGCCCACATAGTCAAGACAATACCAAGCAAAAAGAACAAAGCTGGAGGCATCACGCTACCTGACTTCAAACTATACTACAAGGATACGGTAACCAAAACAGCATGGTACCTGTACCAAAACAGATGTATAGACCAATGGAACAGGACAGAGCCCTCAGAAATAATGCCACACATCTACAGCCATCTGATCTTTGACAGACCTGACAAAGACAAGGAATAGGGAAAGGATTTCCTATTTAATAAATGGTGCTGGAAAACTGGCTAGCCATACGCAGAAAACTGAAACTGGACTCCCTTCCTCACACTTTATACAAAAATTAACTCAAAGTGGATTAAAGACTTAAACGTAAGACCTAAAACCATAAAAACCCTAGAAGAAAACCTAAGCAATACCATTCAGGACATAGGCGTGGGCAAAGACTTCATGACTAAAACACCAAAAGCAATGGCAACAAAAGCCAAAATAGACAAATGGGATCTAATTAAACTAAAGAGCTTCTGCACAGCAAAAGAAACTATCATCAGAGTGAACAGGCAACCTACAGAATGGGAGAAAGTTTTCACAATCTTTTCATCTGACAAAGGGCTAATATCCAGAATCTACAAGGAACTTAAACAAATTTACAAGAAACAAACAACCCCATCAAAAAGTGGGTAAAGGATATGAACAGACACTTTTCAAAAGGACATTTATGTAGTCAACAAACGATAGGAAAAAAAGCTCATCATCACTGGTCATTACAGAAATGCAAATCAAAACCACAATGAGACACCATCTCACACCAGTTAGAATGGCAATCATTAAAAAGTCAGGAAACAATAGATGCTGGAGAGAATGTGGAGAAATAGGAACGCTTATACACTGTTGGTGAAAGTGTAAATTAGTTCAACCACTGTGGAAGACAGTGTGGCAATTCCTCAAGGATCTAGGACCAGAAATATCATTTGCCCCAGCAATCCCATTACTGGGTATATACCCAAAGGATTATAAATCATTCTGCTGTAAATACACATGCACACATATGTATATTGCAAAACTGTTCACAATAGCAAAGACTTGGAACCAATGTAAATGCCCATCAATGATAGACTGGATAAAGAAAATGTGGCACATATACACCATGGGATACTATGCAGTCATAAAAAAGATGAGTTCATGTCCTTTACAGGGACATGGATGAAGCTGGAATCCATCATTCTCATCAAACTAACACAGGAACAGAAAACCAACCACCACATGTTCTCACTCATAAGTGGGAGCTGACCAATGAGAACACATGGATACAGGGAGGGGAAGATCACACACTGGGGCCTGTCAGGGGTTGGGGGGCTAGAGGAGGGATAGCATTAGGAGAAATATCTAATGTAGATAACGGGTTGATGGGTGTAGCAAACCACCATGGCATGTATATACCTATGTAACAAACCTTCACGTTGTGCACATGTATCCCAGAACCTTAATTCTGCAACAGAACTGTTTCCTGTAACTATAACTAACAGACTAGTGAACTACCTCTCTCTACCTATTTACTTACTTATTTATAACCTAACTAGTTAACTGTTTGTCTACTTCTCTTTATGCCTCATATACAACACAGATTGTTAGCCTTATTTTCTGATTAGCTCTCCAAGTTTAGTAGTAAACAATCATCAGACATAGATTCCTTTATAAGACAGTACATGTCTAAATTCTTCTTCCTCAAATGATATTTTATATTAAAGAAATATTTAATAATAAATTTAAAATGTTTAACAAACCTTTAAAATCTATTATTTAAAAATAGTGTTAACCATAAGCAAATAAAAAATGAAAACATATAAATCTTGAAACAAAAAATTAAGAAAATATCACAAACCTGAATAGACTGAGATGATCCTGAAGTTGAAATAGGACTTTAAATGAATAATACTGTGGAATATCAGGAAAAAAATTGACGTTATTCCCTTTTCACTCTGAAGTTAAAACTGGATTCATCCTTTTTAGATTTGAGGCTATCACTTTTAGATCTGAGGCTATTAATCATTATCATATGAGTCTGGGATAATTCTCTTCGCACAGTTCTGCATGTAGTTGTTGTTTGTTTGTTTGTTTAAGTCTCAATTCTGTTAAAATAAGCCTCGCCTTAGAGGTTTTAGAGTGCAAATTCAGCAGCTCAGAAATGAAAGTTGTTTCCCTTGTTGATTCCTGTTAAAGTGTTACATGGGCATTATTTCATTCAGAACAAGTTCAACAAACCAGTGAGTCCTTTGCAACTTGTTGTGGTAAAATGAAACTGATTAAGTCAATGAGCTTTAAAAATGTCTAGTCAGTTGTCTGATTAGTCCTGTCTATTTTCTGTCGGTGTTTGCTACACAGCTTTGTTTCTGTAAATATAGTGCTAGGTTTTCACTGGCATGAGAAGAAAAACTATGTAAAAGTCTAATATAAGAAAATAATAAAATATATTTTATATGTAAAATTAACCTTGTAGAAACCCAGTTGATTTAATAATTTTAGTATATTATCTCTATTAGTATATACATTGAATATGTAAGTGTATTTTATACTAGAAGGTACAGTGATCTACATACAGAGATGCAAAGCTAATTTTCAAGGAAATGCTTGATAATCCAGTTGCTGTATTTTTTAACAAGTTTAAGTTAGTATAATGTTCCATTTAATAGAAGGAGAGTCAAAGGAAGCCTCCATGTTGGTCAGAAACTCATACCACTGAAGTCAAAATAAGAAGCACAACACTACACTGATTGATGACAATGTCTGGCAGAATCTGAAACTGTTAGCTTTATAGTACAGAAAAGAAAGCTACAGTATATCCTAAACATCCACACTGCAGGATTTCTGTGGGATTCTTTAACAGCTTCAATTTCCCTGAATTGCTCAACTAAATTTCTGGAATAAAGACAAGGAGCAGATCAAAAAAGGATACTAGATAACAATGTATGACTAACTACAGAAAAGAAGTTTTTAAATTGAAAGAGTAAGATGGAAAAGTGAAAGTTGTATTGTATAATATTAAAAAATTGTGACAGTTAAAGAACAAAAGTCCATGCTCATCAAAGAATACTTGAAGTATTAATTGTTGCCTTTTTCATAATTCTGTCGCTAAAGTCAATCAACAATTTTTTTAAAGGTGATCTTTAATATTTAGTAGAGTCTCATATAAATAACATTGTGCTTTTCTTCATAAGATTTATTTTTAGGAAACTGGTCTTGACTACATTTTCTTATACTGATACACAAATTATAGAATATAACATTTTTGACCAGCCAACTACTTTTAGTCACAGTGTAAGCATAAACTAATATATATGTGTATATACACATACATATATATTAGATACATATATAATAAAAGATTCATATATACACATACATATTATCCACCATAAACAACAGTTTTTATTTGGGCTATAACAGAGGCACATGCAATTAACATCAAGAATTAAAAGTTGAGAATCCAATAACACATATTGAAGACAAACTTAAAACTATGTATGGATAAATAATTTCACTGTTAAAATCTTTAAGATTTTCCTACATAGTATAAAAATTATAAAGATAGAAATTAAGTGGAATACAAAACTTTATAATCTAATAAAGATGTCCTAAAGTAAATAAGTTAAAACATCTCTATCTAATCATCCACATAAACATTAATTGAAACATTATGTGTAGAGAAAAATGTAAAATTTTGAAATGTCACTTCAGATAAAGATGCAAACAAAAAGCAATATTCCAAAGCAAACAATGGAAGCATTAAGACACAGTTCTCACTGGGATGATATAGCTAGAGTATGTTAGATAAGACAATAAAGTGAAGGAAGCTCTTGCAAAGTTCTCTGACAAGGATGAATGTGTTTATCAGTGGTCAGTAATGAACTTTGATGTGCCTGGAATGGGCTAGGAAATCATGTATAAAACATTAGGATCAACAATGCAGTATACGAAATTGGTGTTCTTTTGCTATTATATTGCAACGTTCCTTGAATATACTGAACGAATCTATTAATCATTGCTGCTGAGATGGCCATTCTACTAGATATATGGAAGCCTGAATGACTTCTTCCTCTAACTGTTCCATGCAAATTGAATTGCAGGTTATAGACAAACCAGTTTATTAAGATTTTTACTTAAAATATGGTAAACAGTTATTGAAATATAAACTTAGCAGAATGTTTGCATCATTCTGAATAGATAAAAATATCATCTCATATATTTAACTGAGCATCCAGTCTGAGCAATTCTTAAGTAAAATAGATGGGTGTGAAATAGATGCTTTGTAAAATACAAAGTTTTATTCAAGCATTAGTCATGTATTTAATAAAGCTTTAATGGACACCAAGCACTGAGCATTAGAAAGTATATTTGGCCCTAGGGACATATAGGTAAATGTGATATGGTCTGTACTATCAAAAGCCTTAAAGAAGTGTCAAAGACACAAGTAAGCAATGCTTGAGAGACCTTGTGAAAAGTGTCTTGATGGAGGTGTGCATAATGTGCTCTGGGGATATGGAGAAGTGTCTGCACTGGGCATGGGAATGAGGAAACTCTTCTTTGGAGAGGGGTGGGTGGTTTGGATGTTACAAGAATCAGTCATAGATAATCAGTAGGAGCATTATGTGTCAAGACCAGAATTTCTGACCTTAATGTTTTCCATGTCATAGCAATATTTACCTAGCCATGAGTATGGGAACCTGTTGCTTCTTACATGTTTTCTATAGTATCTTTTTAAAATCATGAAGATTCATTGCCTCATTCAAATGTTACACAATGATATGGCACTGGTGGCTGAACTAGGTATGAATTGAGAGAGTATACAACTTAGGAAACATATCTGTGCTGCGCTACCTTGTTCAGGGAACTTTTATATTCAACTTTGTTTAGAGCTTAGACTACAATTTTGCCTACCACAAGTAGTAACACACTTCTGCCCCCCTCCAACTGATGCCCCACCAGTCACACCACTTAGGTCTAAATTTCCCTTCAAAGGACACCTTGTAACTAAGGTGACCCTATTTCCAGTTTGCCTAGAGGAGTCCTAGCTAACTTCTGATGTCACAGCAAAATTATTAACACCCCATTTCATCTTCAAGAATGTCCTAGTTTAGTCAAAACCATTATATGGGCACTCTACTTGAATTAACTTGAGTTTCCTGCCCATGATGTAGTCACCCAGGATTTTAGAAAGAACAATGTATCATCACCCTCTCTGGTTTTTGCCCCCTCCATACTATTAAACCTCCCAGGAACAATTTATTGTTGAGAAGCCTGACATTGGTATTTTATTTTCTTCTAATTTAATGCCAATGACCTAGTCCCCACAATAGCCATAAATGATATATAATATGCTAACAGCACCTGGTTTTGCCTTAGGATAACAAACCAGTCAATTGTTTACAAGTAGTAAAGATGGATTTTGTAATGATGATATGGCTTAATCCTCCAGTTACATGAATTAAAAATGACACAACATTATCCTTTAGGCTGTTATATAGAATTTAGTGTTATGCCTGAAAAAGGAAATAAAGGGCGCTATTGCAATGTCTGTTTCTCATAACGCTGTCATAAACTACATTTTAGTACCAGATTTTTATGGACTTGACTGCAAGAGAGAAATAAGGCAATAAAAGATAAGATTTTGAGTTATTAGGATGAACAGAAAAGGAGGAACTGCCATGGATATAAATAAAACATACATGATATCATATATATGTACATATGCATGTGTGCTCACCTAAAAACATGAATATGCACATATTGATCAATATTATGATAACAACAGATAAATTTGTGCACCTTCTGTTTCTTAATATTTTACATGCACTTTCACTGTTTTCCCCCCAACAGCCTTAAATGGTAGGTAGTATTAGTATCCCCAGTCTTACTATGGGGAATCTGAAAAGGAGAAGGATAAATGATTTGCCAAAGGTCAAATCTCCCATAAATAAAATGTGGAACAGGTCATTTGACTCCCAGAACCTGTGTTCTTAGCTACCATGTAAGCATAATAATTTTTAAAATAAATACATAGAGAAAAGTTCACAGCTCAATATTTTTTTAAAACAAATTGAACCAGACTAAATTCATCTTTGAATCCAGCACCTGGAATAAGAATGAACATTATCAGCACCTTAGAAATCCTGCTTGTACTCATCCCTGGTTATACCCCTCCTCAAAAGTATAATAACTAGATTAGATTTGCCAGTTTTGGGATTTTATATATATATATATATATATATATATATATATATATAGAGAGAGAGAGAGAGAGAGAGAGAGAGAGAGAGAGAGAGAGAAGCATATCAAATATAACTCATTTATTTTTGCCTAATTTTGTTTGTGTGATTCATCTACTTTGTATATAACAAGTTTTTAAAACTCTTTCAGCTTGGAGTAGTTTATTGAGTGATTCTGCTATAGTGTATATTGTGTCCATTCCCTGTTGAAATATATTTGGATTGGTTACCGTTTGGAGTTTATAAGTTGTATTGTTTTGAACTATTTTGTACATGCTTTTTAGTATTTACATGTAATTATTTCTACCACTTGTAGACCTAAGTAGAATTACTGGGTCATCGGGAATCACAGGGCTTGTGTTCAATCAACTTTAGTACGTAAGTCCCACCTTTCCAAGGTGCTTGTATCAAGCCGAGTAAGAGTTCTCACAACTATCAGTCTAACAGAATTCTACTTCCTTCACATTCTCCCCAGTCATGGGTATTTTCTGTCTTTTTCATTTTAGTCTTTTTGGCAGATGAGGTTTTGTGGTTTTAATTTTCATTTATCTGATGACTAATGAAGTTGAGCTGTTTTTATATGTTTATTGGCTATTTCTATATCCACTTTTGTGAAGTGCATATGTTGTTGTATGCCTTTTTAAATTATTTGAAGGAGTTCTTTATACATTATGGATACAAATTTTTTGTGGACTGCAATGTCAGCTCACGCCTTGTATTCTAGCTTGCCCTTCCTTATGACCTTCCCAAAGATTTTGAATTTGCCTAGCAGGCCCCATAATCACATAAGCCAATTTCTTGCAATAAATCTCAAATATATATCTTCTGCTGGAGTGTTTCTGCAGTTGAACCCTGCCTAATACAATATCATTCATCAGATTTTAAAATTGCTCATCTATTTTTAGTTTGCTGAAAGTTCTTTTTTTATCATGAATAAGTATCGACTTTTATAAATGCTTTTCTGCATCTATTGAGATGATTACCTGGCTTCATTCCACTAATCTGTTAATGTGATAAACTACATTGAATGATTTCTTAATATTAATCCAAACTTGCATTCCTGGAATAAACCCTACTTGATCATGATGAGTTATTCTTTTTATATATCTCTGGATTCAATTTCCAAATGTCATTTTCAGGATTTTAGTGCCTATGTTCATGAGAAATATTGGCCAGTAATTTTCCTTTCTTATTAGTGTCCTTGTTAGGTTTGATTAAAAAATTCTGGGGCCTCATAAATGAGGTGGAAGGGTACACTCTTTTTTTTCATTTTGGGAAATAATATATGGAAGTTTGTATCATTTCCTTTTTAAGATTTGCAAGAATTTGCCAATATAATTATCTGGGCCTGGAATTGTATTTCTCCTGGGCCAGTATAATCATCTGGGATTGTATGTTCTGTATTTTGCAATAAAGATAAACTCATTCAGGTTTGTTTTTCTTCTTATTTCAGTTATGGCAAGTTGTGTTTTTCAAAGGATTTTGTCCATTTTCTCCAAACTGTTATATTTATTGACAAAAATTTGTTTGTATTTTAGACTTACTATCATAGTAGTATTCCATTTTTTTCATTGACAGTATTGATCATTTATCTTCTCTCTTTGTTCTGATTAACTTGAAGGAGGCTTTTTTATTTTTGTTAACCTGACAAAAGAATCTTCTGTCTCTTGATTATTTTGATCATATATTTGCAATTAGATTTTATCTCTATATTTTGTTTTTATTTTTATTATTTCATTCTTTCTACTTCCTCTGGTTTAAGTTTGCTCTTCTATTACCATCTTCTTAAGACAGAAATCTATATCTTTGGGGTCTACCTTTTTGTCAATGTATACAATTAGCATCATAAATTTCTCTCTGAGCAATGCCTCAGCTCCTCAGCTGCATCCCTGCAAGTGGAATAATGCCCTTGTATTATGAGGGTTAATTTTACTAGGCCTTGAATTGGTGTGGGCTATTTTGTCGAAGTAATAAATGTGCTTAAATGGTAGTCATTCCTGGTCAAGAGATGAATATACTGATTAGTGTTTTTTTGTAACCATGTGTCCAAGGTGAGGTTTGGGGTGCTTTATAACTGCTTGTCAGCATTGTTTATTGATAACAGTGAGACTGATTATTTGTGCCTGATCTTAGGTAAAACCTTGGAGGGGTCTACCATTGAGGTGTCTATGCAGCATGAAAATGCCTACATGATCAGAAGGAAATAGGTTTTACACTCTATTTTGGGCTCCCTGGATTCAAGGGTGTTCCATCCACATATTGGTGCTTTAAGATCTGAGAGAGAAGAATGTCAATGATGACCCTACATAGGGAGAAGAATGGGAGATTGTGCCTATCCTCTATAGACTTCTAACTGTGAGGCAGCCTTTGGCTACTGTCCTAAGTTTTACTTGTTCCAATTTTGTATTATTTCCCTACAATAAATCATAGATTTATAAGCATTGTCATTTGGGGTCCTGTGAATCTTTAACAGTCAAATCCTGTTTAACTGCTACCGTTAGTGAAGACCTGTTTTCATTAACATTCAGTTCAATATATTTTCTCAATTCCATTGTGATTTCTTCTTTGACCCCTAAGTTTTTTTTAGCATAGTGTTGTCCAAATATTTAGGAGTTGTCTATCTTCACAACTTAATTTCTATTTTAAGTTTACATAGAGAGAACATCATTTAAAATTTTATTACATTTCAACATATGGTCTATTTTAATAAATTTCTATGTCTACTTGAATGTGTTATATATTTGTTGGAAGTAATGTTTTATGTATTCCAACAGGATCAAGTTGCTAATAATAATAATAATAATAATACATAATCCTTATTTCTTTGATCAGCTCATTGTACCAGATACTGAGAACATTGTGTTAAAATATCAAATACAACTGTGGATTTGTTTGTACTTCCTTTTATTGTTTCATATTTGGTTCTTTTGTTTTTCAGGTGCATCCATATTTAGCACTGTTATGTCTTCCTTTTGAATCAATACATTCATCATCATAAAATGTTCCTCTTTTTTGCTAATTATATTTCTCATCTCAAAGTACTCTCTTATTTTAGTAGACTAGCTTTCCTTTTATTTAGTGTTTGTGTGGTATTTTTTTTTCTGTCCTTTTATTTTCAATATTTCTGTGTCCTTAATATTTATAGTATGGTATATATATATGTAACTGCATAAATTTCTTATTTTTTCTTATCCAGACTAAAAATATTTGTTATAGGGTTTAGCAAACACATACACACACAAAATATGTTTTAGTCATATGTTGTATTATTCTTTAACGGTTAGCCTATGAACTACAAATATACACTCTTCATTTACCATAGCACTGTTACTATTTTACTATTAGGTTGGTGCAAAAGTTATTGCGGTTTCTTGCCATTACTTTCAATGGCAAGAAACCGCAATTGAAAGTAATGGCAAGAAACCGCAAAAACTTTTGCACCAACCTAATATTTTTCTAAAGATTCTAGAATCATACAACAATTTAATTCCATTTATTCATGACTGTACACTGTATGTTTTTTCATATATTTTACTTTCTCATATGTTTAAATTTTATATCATTTGCTATTGTTTTTAAAAGTCAATACAAATTAAAGAATCTTTGCTATCAATGTAATATTAAATTTTCTTTTTCAACTCACTCATCTTACTCATCACGAAATTGAATATCAACAAAAATAAATAATTTATTCAAAGTCACGTATCTTATTTTTAGCAGAGCCATACTTGAAGTCTATTCTGACTATTAGGCCAATCCTCATATCTTTACAAAAAGTGTCTTCAAATATTTTGAAACTGACTCAGAGGTTTTGAAGCTATGGATATATATATAGCTATGGATATACATAGAGACTAAAATTCACTTTAATATTTACAAGCAAAATACTTACTGAGCAACTTCTATGGGGCCAGGAACCATACTTTGCACAAAAGTTATAGTAATTAGTGAAACAACAAAATTCTTGCCAAAATAAGGCATTTTTCTAATTCAGTTTTAAAGTGAAGGAGTTAAGAATATGCCATCCACAATATGTAATTCTGGCATATTAATTATTTAAGTTAAAGGCAATTGAAAAATAACAATTATAAGAAGATCACTTTGACCTTTGTGCCTTCTTAAAAGCAAGAGATGAAAGTCTCATGTGAAAGATGTTCTCCCTATCTTAGAAGAAAAATCGCATTATTATCATCAAAGATGTAAAATTGAAGCCAAAGAAAATTTGTACAAACCTTGTTACACTTAATTCATATCTTCCTGGCCACTTTTCTACCCAATTAACTGTCCTGGCTCAAGCCCCTTTGCCTTATCACATTTTCATAATTTATTATTCTTTGTCAAATTTGTTACATAAGTGATTGATTCTAATTCCTTCTTTGGGTCTTTATTTTCTTGTGAGGGCTTGCATGACCTGTAAAACTTGTATTAAGTACATTTGTATGCTCTTATTCATTTTAATCTATCTTATGTAAATTTATTTCTTGAGCTGGATCCCTAAATGAATGGAGGTGGAATTTTGCCTTCCCTATAACAATTGTTTCAACGTTTGCTACAACCTGCTTTATACTAGGCAATATGTTGTATCTGGCAATATTTATCACCAGCAACTAGATATCTAATGTGACAAGGTATATAATTCTATTGTTCTTGTCCTGGATACTTTGTGGAAAATAGAACCGGAAATTTTAACCTAAATACTAGATCTGTACTCCTAACTTTTTCAAACTTAATGCCATATGAAAGAAAATAGCTTCCAACAGAGTAAGCTCAGGGAACCAGAGTCTAGTGTTAGCACTTTATAATTCACTATTTGTTCTTCTCCTGCCAAGAGGAATTCAACCAATCACTAAATGAGTTTTATGAAATAGTTCACCAAGTATAACCTGAGAAAAAGTTCCCACACTTCACTTGTCAAATGCCTCATTCCTAGAGTGACTTTGGGATCTTTAAGAGAAATTTATTTGTAGCTCACAGATGCTCAGTATTGCTTAGAATATGGACATACATATGCTAGACTTGTTATATATAAAGATCTTATAATTAAATGTCATATGTGGCAATTTCATGTTGGCTCCCCACCATGGGTGTTAAATGTAGCTCTATTTGAAAACCAGGTTTCTTAACTTCAAGAATCAATTTAAAAAATCAAGTGGTCAGGAAACCACTTCAAGGTATAACAGACTATATAGATGCTACTCTATCTTAATATTATATTATTTATAACAATCACTAATCTAATGTGCAACTAAATCACCACCAAGGCAGCAACTTCTCAAAGGGAAAATAAAATTCTACTTTCTGAAGAGATGTGCAATATCTGAAAATAGAATTTGAAAGATGAAGAAAATAAAAGAGTAAAAAGTTATTTATAAGAAAGACCAACAAGGCAATATAGTAAAGTGCAGTTTATTTGAAAAGTATTAGGAGCTCATCTAGACACTAATCAAAAGCCAGGTAAGCAAATGCCTTGCTTCAAGGCAGAAAAGCTGACTTAGAATTAAAGATTCATGGCAAGTAATGGTAATGGTAAAAAATGATGAACTGTAACATTAAAAAAGGAGGGAGGAAAAACATTTTCTTTTTAAAAGTTACCATATTTTCAAAAATAAAATAAATGGGGGAAATATAAATGTGAGATATGTTTAGAAGGTGCAACTCAAAATCTTAGATTATATAGACAGGTATTCCTAAAACACAAAGAAATTTATAATTTTAGGGATAAATCGACTATATTTTTAAAACGTTTTATTTTTAGTTATTATGGATACATAGTAGTTTTACATATTTATGGGGTACATGTGATATTTTAATGCAAGCATACAATGTACAATGATCAAACCAGGGTAATTAGATTTTCCTTAACCTCAAACATTTATCATTTCTTTGTGTTACGAACATTCCAATTCCACTCTTTTACTATCTTGAAATATACCGTAAATTATTGTGAACCATAGTAGACATATTGTGCTACTGAACACTAGCTCTTCCTTCTAACTGTATTTTTGTACCCATTAACCAACCTCTTTTCATCTCTCCCTCCCCACTACCCTTTCAAGCCTCTGTAATCATCATTCTACTCTCTATCTCCATTAGTCCAATATTTTTTAGCTCCCACATGTAAGTGAGAACATGTGATATTTGCCTTTCTGTGCCAGGCTTATTTCACTCAACATAATCTCCAGTTCCAACTATGCTGTTGCAAATGACAGGATTTTTACTTTTTTTATGGCTAAACTATTCCATCGTGCATATGCATGACATTTTCTTTATTCCTTCATTCACTGATGGACACCTGGGTTGATTCCATATTTTGGCTATAGTGAATATTGCTTTAATAAACATGGGAGTGCAGATATCTCTTCAATAAATTGATTTTTAAAATATATACCAGCAGTGGGATTGCTGGATCATATGGAAGTTCTATTTTTAGTTTTTTTGAGGAACTTCCATACTGTTTTTTATAGTGTCTGCACTAATTTACATTCCTACCAACAGTGTACAAGGGTTCCCTTTTCTCTGTATCCTTGCCAGCCTCCTTTATTTCCTGACTTTTGATAAAAGCCATTTTAAAGGGTGTGAGATGATATCACAATGTAGTTTCAATTTGCAGTTTCCTGATGATTCGTGATATTGAACTTTTTTAATATGCTTCTTGGTCATTTTTATATCGTCTTTGGAGAAATGTCTATTCAGATCTTTTGCTCATTTTTAATTTGCATTATTTTTATTGTTATTGAGTTGTTTGAGCTCTTTATATATGCTGGTTATTAATTCCTTGTCATCACATGGGTAGTTTGCAAATGTTTTCTCCCATTCTGTGAGTTGTCTTTTTATTGAGTTGATTGTTTCCTTTGCTGTGCAGAAGCTTTTTTTGCTTGAAGTGATCCCATTTGTCCTTTTTAACTTTGGTTGCCTAGATCTTACTCAAGAAATCTTTAGCAGTCTTAAGAAATCTTTGCCCAGACCAATATCCTGGGGTGTTTCCCCAATGTTTTCTTATAGTAGTTTCATATTTTCAAGTCTTAGATTTAAGTCTTTAATCCATTTTAATATGTCTTTTTATATGGTGAGAGATAGGGGTCTAATTTCATTCTTCTGTATATGGATCTCCAGTTTTCTCAGCACCATTTATTGAAGAGACCATCCTTTCCCCAATATATGTTCTTGGCACGTTTGATAAAAATGAGTTGACTGTAAATGTGTGGATTTATTTCTGGGTTTTCTTTTCTGTCTCATTGGTCTGTGTGTCTGTTTTTATGCCAATACCATGCTGTCTTAGTTACTATTGCTCTATAGTATAATTTGAAGTCAGGTAATGTGATTCCTTTGGTTTTGTTCTTTTTGCTCAAGATAGCTTTTGTTATTCTGGGTCTTTTGTGGTTCCATGTAAATGTTAGCATTATTATTTTCTATTTCTGTGAAAAATATCATTGGTATTTTGATAGGAGTTCTATTGAATCAGTAGATTGCTTTGGATAGTATGGGAATTTTAACAATATTGATTCATCTAATCCATGAACACTGAATAACTTTCCATTTTTTGTGTGTCCTCTTTTCAATTTCTTTCATCAGTGTTTCATGGTGTTCATTATAGAGATCTTTCATTTTTTCAATTAAGTTTATTTCTAAGTATTTTATTTGTAGCTGTTGTAAGTGGGATTATATTCTTGGTTTCTTTTTAAGACTGTTGGCTGTTTTAATATATAAATGCTACTGATTTTTGTATGTTTATTTTGTATCCTAAAACTTTTATTTTGTATCCTAAAACTTTACAGAATTTGTCAGTTCTAATAGTTTTTGGTGGAGTCTTTAGGTTTTCCCACATTTAAGATCATATCATTTGCAAACAAGGAAAATTTGATTTCTTCCTTTCCAATTTTGGTGTCCTTTATTTCCTTCTCTTGTTTAGTTGTTCTGGCTAGAACTTATAGAACTATGTTGAATAAAGATGGTGAAAGTGAGCAGCATCCTTGTCTTATTTCAGATCTTAGAGAAAAGGCTTTCCATTTTTTTCTGTTCAATGTACTAGGTGTGGGTTGGTCATATATGGTTATATTGACTTTAGATATAGTCTGCTCCGATCTCTTTATTTTACAGATAAAGGCAACAAATCTTCGAGAGAGTAACTCACTCCCTGAAGCCCTAGAACTAAAATATAATAAAACCAAGTCTAGAACCCAGATGAATCTTGTAATATTGTGTTATTCCTGTCATACTTTTCAACATAGAACATTTGTAATTATCCTTTTTGAGAAATATTAGGCATCTTCCCTTCTTTGAGAACTAGATAAACCCTTCATTTTGGCACGACTAAGTAGAATATTTTTGTTTTTTGGCTTCTAATATTGTTTGGAACTAGGTTGATTAGATGTCTTTCATTTTCAAAAGGCTGTAAGCTTATTGAGTTCCATTTGATGTTATTTATCTTTGATTTTGCCAGAGTCCAATATCATATCTTACACATAGTAAGTGGGCAAGATGTTTGAGGTATATTATGCATTTGTTCACTTAGTGATTGGTTGAATTTCCTCTTAGCAGGAGAAAAACAAACACTGAATCATGAAGTGCTACCACTAGATTCTGGTTCCCTGAGTTTACTCTCTCTGAAACTATTTGCTTCCATGTAGCATTTACTTTTGAAAATTGGAGTAGGGATCTAGGATTAGATAAAGATGTCTAAATTGCTACATCTGTAATTATTTAAATTAACTTATGTGTCAGATTCAGTTCATAAACCATTCCAGATCTGCTCAATCTGTTTTCTTCCTCAGCCCTAGCAGCTTCTTCACTGGAGACATGGGGCCACTGTCCTTATTGTCTTATCTCCTCTCACTGCTGGCACTCAGCCCTTTCCGAGTGAGAGACGGGCATCAGCAGGAAGTCTAACCACACTGGACTCACTGGCTTATTATTTTTTAACCACTTCTGACCCCTGATGAATTGCCCCAACATGGGGAATAAAAAATGGGATACTGCAGTATGTGTCCAAAGATACCAGATAATACCAACTGCAAATGTCTTTGAAGGATAAGACTACTGCCTCTCAGAGTAAACTATGAAGATAGGAAGGAACTGACAGATATGCTTTCCTTCCTTCTCTGTCAGGGACTGTTCCAAAAAACAACAGTTACATATAAACTGATGGGAAGAAGCCATATGTTTGAGGATGCAACTGCATTTTCTTGTGATACTCTGGCCAGCTTAGGAATTCAGCACCTTGTATTTGCTTTCTGTTCTCTACCTCAGCATGTATGTTTTTCACAGACTCTGTTTCCCAGGGAATATAGTCTAAAAGAATTTCAATATGTAGTGGTTATTGGTTCTTATCAGTTGAGCTTCATGAATCTTTTTTTTTTTTTTTTGAGATGGAGTCTCCCTCTGTCACCCAGGCTGGAGTGGAGCTTCATGAAATTTATAAAGAGATTAGTGACAAGTCATAATTCAGAGACCCTTTTGTATTTCCTTATAAGATATAAAGTGAATTTTACATTTAAAGTTTGCTTAAAATAAAGGTAAACAGCCTCTTTTTAATTTACTATGAGTTTTTATTTACAACTAGACATCTAAAAGATTATTTTTTATTATACTTTAAGTTTTAGTGTACGTGTGCACAATGTGCAGGTTAGTTACATATGTATACATGTGCCATGCTGGTGTGCTGCACCCATTAATTCGTCATTTAGCATTAGGTATATTTCCTAAAGCTATCCCTCCCCCCTTCCCCCACCCCACAACAGTCCCCAGAGTGTGATGTTCCCCTTCCTGTGTCCATGTGTTCTCATTGTTCAATTCCCACCTATGAGTGAGAATATGCGGTGTTTGGTTTTTTGTTCTTGTGATAGTTTACTGAGAATGATGACTTCCAATTTCATCCATGTCCCTACAAAGGACATGAACTCATTTTTTATGGCTGCATGGTATTCCATGGTGTATATGTGCCACATTTTCTTAATCCAGTCTATCATTGTTGGACATTTGGGTTGGTTGCAAGTCTTTGCTATTGTGAATAGTGCCACAATAAACATACGTGTGCATGTGTCTTTATAGCAGCATGATTTATAGTCCTTTGGGTATATACCTAGTAATGGGATGGCTGGGTCAAATGGTATTTCTAGTTCTAGATCCCTGAGGAATCGCCACACTGACTTCCACAATGGTTGAACTAGTTTACAGTCCCACCAACAGTGTAAAAGTGTTCCTATTTCTCCACATCCTGTCCAGCACCTGTTGTTTCCTGACTTTTTAATGATTGCCATTCTAACTGGTGTGAGATGGTATCTCATTGTGGTTTTGATTTGCATTTCGCTGATGGCCAGTGATGGTGAGCATTTTTTCATGTGTTTTTGGCTGCATAAATGTCTTCTTTTGAGAAGTGTCTGTTCATATCCTTTGCCCACTTTTTGATGGTGTTGTTTGTTTTTTCTTGTAAATTTGTTTGAGTTCATTGTAGATTCTGGATATTAGCCCTTTGTCAGATGAGTAGATTGTGAAAATCTTCTCCCATTTTGTAGGTTGCCTGTTCACTCTGATGGTGGTTTCTTTTGCTGTGCAGAAGCTCTTTAGCTTAATTAGATCCCATTCATCAATTTTGGCTTTTGTTGCCATTGCTTTTGGTGTTTTAGACATGAAGTCGTTGCCCATGCCTATGTCCTGAATGGTAATGCCTAGGTTTTCTTCTAGGGTTTTTATGGTTTTAGGTCTAACGTTTAAGTCTTTAATCCATCTTGAATTGATTTTTGTATAAGGTGTAAGGAAGGGATCCAGTTTCAGCTTTCAACATATGGCTAGCCAGTTTTCCCAGCACCATTTATTAAATAGGGAATCCTTTCCCCATTGCTTGTTTTTCTCAGGTTTGTCAAAGATCAGATAGTTGTAGATAGGCAGTGTTATTTCTGAGGGCTCTGTTCTGTTCCATTGATCTATATCTGTGTTTTGGTACCAGTACCATGCTGTTTTGGTACCAGTACCATGCTGTTTTGGTTACTGTAGCCTTGTAGTATAGTTTGAAGTCAGGTAGCGTGATGCCTCCAGCTTTGTTCTTTTGGCTTAGGATTGACTTGGCGATGCGGGCTCTTTTTTGGTTCCATATGAACTTTAAAGTAGTTTTTTCCAACTCTGTGAAGAAAGTCATTGGTAGCTTGATGGGGATGGCATTGAATCTATAAATTACCTTGGGCAGTATGGCCATTTTCATGATATTGATTCTTCCTACCCATGAGCATGGAATGTTCTTCCATTTGTTTGTATCCTCTTTTATTTCATTGAGCAGTGGTTTGTAGTTCTCCTTGAAGAGGTCCTTCACGTCCCTTGTAAGTTGGATTCTTAAGTATTTTATTCTCTTTGGAGCAATTGTGAATGGGAGTTCACTCATGATTTGGCTCTCTGTCTGTTATTGGTGTATAAGAATGCTTGTGATTTTTGCACATTGATTTTGTATCCTGAGACTTTGCTGAAGTTGCTTATCAGCTTAAGGAGATTTTGGGCTGAGACAATGGGATTTTCTAGATATACAATCATGTCACCTGCAAACAGGGACAATTTGACTTCCTCTTTTCCTAATTGAATACCCTTTATTTCCTTCTCCTTCCTAATTGCCCTGGCCAGAACTTCCAACACTATGTTGAATAGGAGTGGTAAGAGAGGGCATCCCTGTCTTGTGCCGGTTTTCAAAGGGAATGATTCCAGTTTTTGCCCATTCAGTATGATATTGGCTATGAGTTTGTCATAGATAGCTCTTATTATTTTGAGATACGTCCCATCAATACCTAATTTATTGAGAGTTTTTAGCATGAAGGGTTGTTGAATTTTGTCAAAGGTCTTTTCTGCATCTATTGAGATAATCATGTGGTTTTTGTCTTTGGTTCTGTTTATATGCTGAATTACATTTATTGATTTGCGTATATTGAACCAGCCTTGCATCCCAGGGATGAAGCCCACTTCATCATGGTGGATAAGCTTTTTGATGTGCTGCTGGATTTGGTTTGCCAGTATTTTATTGAGGATTTTTGCATCAATGTTCTTCAAGGATATTGGTCTAAAATTCTCTTTTTTGGTTGTGTCTCTGCCTGGCTTTGGTATCAGGATGATGCTGGCCTCATAAAATGAGTTAGGGAGGATTCCCTCCTTTTCTATTGATTGGAATAGTTTCAGAAGGAATGGTACCAGTTCCTTCTTGTACCTCTGGTAGAATTCGGCTGTGAATCCATCTGGTCCTGGACTCTTTTTGGTTGGTAAGCTATTGATTATTGCCACAATTTCAGATCCTGTTATTGGTCTGTTCAGAGATTCAACTTCTTCCTGGTTTAGTGTTGGGAGAGTGTACGTGTCAAGGAATTTACCCATTTCTTCTAGATTTTCTAGTTTATTTGCATAGAGGTGTTTGTAGTATTCTCTGATGGTAGTTTGTATTTCTGTGGGATTGGTGGTGACATCCCCTTTATCATTTTTTATTGCGTCTATTTGATTCTCTCTTTTTTTCTTTCTTGGTCTTGCTAGCGGATCAATTGCTAGCAGTCTTGCTAAAGGATCAATTTTGTTGATCCTTTCAAAAAACCAGGTCCTGGATTCATTAATTTTTTGAAGGGTTTTTTGTGTCTCTATTTCCTTCAGTTCTGCTCTGATTTTAGTTATTTCTTGCCTTCTGCTAGCTTTTGAATGTGTTTGCTCTTGCTTTTCTAGTTCTTTTAATTGTGATGTTAGGGTATCAGTTTTGGATCTTTCCTGCTTTCTCTTGTGGGCATTTAGTGCTATAAATTTCCCTCTACACACTGCTTTGAATGTGACCCAGAGATTCTGGTATGCTGTGTCTTTGTTCTCATTGGTTTCAAAGAACATCTTTATTTCTGCCTTCATTTCTTTATGTACCCAGTAGTCATTCAGGAGCAGGGTGTTCAGGTTCCATGTAGTTGAGCGGTTTTGAGTGAGTTTCTTAATCCTGAGTCTAGTTTGATTGCACTGTGGTCTTAGAGACAGTTTGTTATAATTTCTGTTCTTTTACATTTGCTGAGGAGAGGTTTACTTCCAGCTATGTGGTCAATTTTGGAATAGGTGTGGTGCTGAAAAAAATGTATATTCTGTTGATTTGGGGTGGAGAGTTCTGTAGATGTCTATTAGGTCCGCTTGGTGTAGGGCTGAGTTCAATTCCTGGGTATACTTGTTAACTTTTTGTCTCGTTGTTCTGTCTAATATTGACAGTGGGGTGTTAAAGTCTCCCATTATTATTGTGTGGGAGTCTTAAGTCTCTTTGTAGGTCACTCAGGACTTGCTTTATGAATCTGGGTGCTCCTGTATTGGGTGCATATATATTTAGGATAGTTAGCTCTTCTTGTTGAATTGATCCCTTTACCATTATGTAATGGCCTTCTTTGTCTCTTTTTATCTTTGTTGGTTTAAAGTCTGTTTTATCAGAAACTAGGATTGCAACCCCTGCCTTTTTTTGTTTTCCATTTGCTTGGTAGATCTTCCTCCATCCTTTTATTTTGAGCCTATGTGTGTCTCTGCACATTAGATGGGTTTCCTGAATACAGCACACTGATGGGTCTTGACTCTTCATCCAAATTGCCAGTCTGTGTCTTTTAATTGGAGCATTTAGTCCATTTACATTTAAAGTTAATATTGTTTTGTGTGAATTTGATCCTGTGATTATGATGTTAGCTGGTTATTTTGCTCGTTAGTTGATGCAGTTTCTTCCTAGCCTCGATGGTCTTTACATTTTGGCATGATTTTGCAGCAGCTGGTACCGGTTGTTCCTTTCCATGTCTAGTGCTTCCTTCAGGAGCTCTTTTAGGGCAGGCCTGGTGGTGACAAAATCTCTCAGCATTTGCTTGTCTGTAAAGTATTTTATTTCTCCTTCACTTATGAAGCTTAGTTTGGCTGGATATGAAATTCTGGGTTGAAAATTCTTTTCTTTAAGAATGTTGAATATTGGCCCCCACTCTCTTCTGGCTTGTAGAGTTTCTGCCGAGAGATCCACTATTAGTCTGATGGGCTTCCCTTTGTGGGGAACCTGACCTTTCTCTCTGGCTGCCCTTAACATTTTTTCCTTCATTTCAACTTTGGTGAATCTGACAATTATGTGTCTTGGAGTTGCTCTTCTTGAGGAGTATCTTTGTGGTATTCTCTGTATTTCCTGAATCTGAATGTTGGCCTGCCTTGCTAGATTGGGGAAGTTCTCCTGGATAATATCCTGCAGAGTGTTTTCCAACTTGGTTCCATTCTCCCCGTCACTTTCAGGTACACCAATCAGATGCAGATTTGGTCTTTTCACATAGTCCCATATTTCTTGGAGGCTTTGTTCGTTTCTTTTTATTCTTTTTTCTCTAAACTTCCCTTCTCGCTTCATTTCATTCATTTCATCTTCCATCACTGATACCCTTTCTTCCAGTTGATTGCATCGGCTCCTGAGGCTTCTGCATTTTTCACATAGTTCTCGAGCCTTGGCTTTCAGCTCCAACAGCTCCTTTAAGCACTTCTTTGTATTGGTTATTCTAGTTATACATTCGTCTAAATTTTTTTCAAAGTTTTTAACTTCTTCGCCTTTGGTTTGAATTTCCTCCTGTAGCTCGGAGTAGTTTGATCATCTGAAGCCTTCTTCTCTTAACTCATCAAAGTCATTCTCCATCTATCTTTGTTCCATTGCTGGTGAGGAACTGCGTTCCTTTGGAGGAGGATTGGCGCTCTGCTTTTTAGAGTTTCCAGTTTTTCTGCTCTGTTTCTTCCCCATGATTGTGGTTTTATCTACTTTTGGTCTTTGATGATGGTGATGTACAGATGGGTTTTTGGTGTGGATGTCCTTTCTGTTTGTTAGAAGGAAAACTAACAGACAGGACCCTCAGCTGCAGGTCTGTTGGAGTTTGCTAGAGGTCCACTCCAGACCCAGTTTGCCTGGGTATCAGCAGTGGTGTCTGCAGAACACGGATTTTCGTGAACCGCGAATGCTGCTGTCTGATCGTTCCTCTGGAAGTTTTGTCTCAGAGGAGTACCCGGCCATGTAAGGTGTCAGTCTGCCCCTACTGGGGGGTGCCTCCCAGTTAGGCTGCTCGGGGGTCAGGGGTCAGGGACCCACTTGAGGAGGCAGTCTGCCCGTTCTCAGATCTCCAGCTGTGTGCTGGGAGAACCACTGCTCTCTTCAAAGCTGTCAGACAGGGACATTTAAGTCTGCAGAGGTTACTGCTGTCTTTTTGTTTGTCTGTGCCCTGCCCCCAGAGGTGGAGCCTACAGAGGCAGGCAGGCCTCCTTGAGCTGTGGTGGGCTCTACCCAGTTTGAGCTTCCCTTCCGGGCAGCTTTGTTTACCTACTCACAGCTTGGCAATGGCAGGCGCCCCTCCCCCAGCCTGGCTGCCGCCTTGCAGTTTGATCTCAGACTGCCCTGCTAGCAATCAGCGAGACTCCGTGGGCGTAGGACCCTCCGAGCCAGGTGCGGGATATAGTCTCCTGGTGCGCCGTTTCCTAAGCCCGTCGGAAAAGTGCAGTATTAGGTTGGGAGTGACCAGATTTTCCAGGTGCCGTCTGTCACCCCTTTCCTTGACCAGGAAAGGGAACTCCCTGACCCCTTGCACTTCCTGAGTGAGGCAATGCCTCGCCCTGCTTGGGCTCATGCACAGTGCGCGGCACCCACTGTCCTGCGCCCACTGTCTGGCACTCCCTAGTGAGATGAACCTGGTACCTCAGAGGGAAATGCAGAAATCACCCATCTTCTGTGTCACTCACGCTGGGAGCTGTAGACCGGAGCTGTTCCTATTCGGCCATCTTGGCTCCCTTAAACTGATCCTCTTAAACACAGGTATGTATCACCTCTTTGCAGAAAACTATGTTGCAATTAATGAAAAATCTTACATAGTGTTTAACATATGCTAGGGGCTGTTCTAAGCTCCTTAAATATCATAATTCATTTAGCCCTCACGATAAATTATGGAAGTTTCCTCCCCATCTTCTTCCTTCTTCCTCCTCTTCTTCTTCCCACTGAGCATACTCATTTATTTAGCACATGTGCTAAATAATGTGTCCAAGGACGCAGAGCAAGAAAAGTGAACAAAATTAGGATTCCACGTCAAACTTGGAATCTATACTTGCACTGTCCAAAACAGTAGTCACTTAACACATGTGGCTATTGAGGATGTGTGTGTGTGTGTGTGTGTGCAAATTTTGTCATTAGCAGCCACTTACACACACACACACACACAAACATATATATATATATCATGGCTCATGGCAATAATTTTTTTATATTACGCCATATATTTACATGTCATACTATTTTATCTAATCTATTCTTACTAAGTATGTCAAAATGAGTTTTTACCCTTTCACTGTATATATTGCTGTCAATTACTAATTTAAAGTTCAGCACTTTCACAAAGGTTATATTACGAACTCCTGTCCAAGATAATGTCATGATCTGTGTTCAGTATCTCAGACAATTCTCATAATCCTGATAAAATGGCACTTTCATTTCCACAGGTGAGGAATCTGAGGGAAGAAAACATAACTTCCTACAGTTAACAGAAAAAATGTTGAAATAAAGATTCAAAACTATGATTTCAAAGTTTGTACTTCATTTTGCTCTATGTGCTATACATCGTTCTTAACTTTATTTGAGAAAACTTTGGTTTCTATTTTATATTTTAATATATTAAAAAACTCAAGCCAGGTGTGGTGGCTCATGCCTGTAATCCCAGCACTTTGGGAGGCCGAGGTGGGTGGATCATTTGAGATCAGGAGTTTGAGACTAGTTTGGCCAACATGGTGAAACCCCGGCTCTACTACAAATACAAAAATGTCCCTAGTGGTAGTGGGGGTGTGCCTGTAATCCCAGCTACTTAGAAGGCTGAGGCAGCAGAATCACTTGAGACTGGGAGGCGGAGGTTGTGGTGAGCAGAGATCGCGCCAGTGCACTCCAGCTTGGGCAACAGAATGAGACCCTGTTTCAAAAAATAAATACATAAAAAACTCTGTATTACACTTTTAACAAGTAGTTATTTACAATTCTGCTTTCTAGTACAATAAATTTAAAGTTGGGTGCTTGCATTACTCTGTAAGTTACTTCATTACTATTATTATAACTTTAGAGCTTTTCGATTTTTTAACAAATAATAAATACTTTGTAGTCATCGGCAATAAAATATACTATTTGAAAAAGAGTAAAAAAAGTATCATACTGCATTGGTCTACAAAAGAAAAGATTATTCATATCTGTGCTATGATTTCCACTAGTCAATATGATAGCCACCATCAACATGTAGCTCTTGATCATTTGAATTGTGGCTAGTTCAACTGGTGTTCTCTGTAAGTCCAAAATACATCCACACTGTAAAGTCTTAGTATGACAAAAGTATATTAACTATATGATAAATTGTGTTTGTACTGATAACATGTTAAAATGATAATAATTTGAATATATTAAGTAAAATATATTATAAAAAATATTTTCAGTTGTTTGTTTTTACCATTTTTAATGTGGCTACTAGAAAACTTTAAATCACAAATGTGGGTGACATTTTTGGCTTACATTCCCCTTCTATTGATAGTGCTACATACAGTCAGAAAGCTAAACTGATACATCATTATTTATCAGCAGCCATTTTTAGAGGATAAAGGGAAACTGGAAATCATTTTAGTCTAATTCCTCATTTAATACCTTAATTAAAATCTAATTCCCCCAAAATTAGCTTTACCTAGGATGCCATTGACAATTAATAGAAGAATCATTTTAATGAAACTCAAAGCAATCTCTTTGGTGGAAAATATCTGTCTTCTGGTTATTTGTCACCTCTCAGGCTACTGCATCTGTATTCTGATTATATATCTGTAAGACTAGAAGGCAATAAACTATATTTCTCAGATTCCATTGCCAAATGATTTCTTATTATCTAATATCAATGGGAAGGACTTTGGGGTGAAGAGAGTTTGAGGAAAAGGAAAACATTTTACTTCTTCTCTTTGCTATAGTACTGTCACACAGTAATGGTAAGGATGTGTGACCATCAGTGATTATGGCCCTCGGCCCTTTGGCTGTTCTAACACTTACAGTGGCAGTGGCTACAGCTGTACCACAGCTGGTTTGGGTTTCTGGGTCCTAACCTAGAGATGTTAGTAGACTTCTGACAGCTGGATGTAACCACATGCAAGGCTTTTGGAAACCAAGTATCTGTTGAATATTACCATCAAATAAGTAATCATAACTTTAACATTATGGGATGGGGATGGCTGTTTCTGACTTAAATTGCAAAATTATAAAGTAAAATATCAGCCTCAAGGATTTAACCTTTCAGCTCAAGGCACAGAAAATAGTTTCTCATCTCTATAAGTCTAATCTTTATAGACACAGGTGTAATATGACTGGAAAATCAGACACCAAAGTTAATTTTGTAAGTTTGGGAATTGAAACATTTATGCAGTATAGATTCTTGCTAGGTATCTTTGATGAAAATTAATACTTTGCCTGGGAAATAGTAGAACTCTTAGAGTAGAAATGTAAATATTTGTGGGGATTCTGGTGAATCTGATCATCTTGGAAAGCTAAATATCCCCATGACTTTTTTTGCCAGCAAAAGCAATCTTTCTTCTCTTTTCTGATAGTAGATTTTCTTGACTGAAAATGCTGTGTATCTGTCATCTTTTGGTACACAATAAATAATCCCCAAATTAGTAATCAAAACTACTATGATTTATTATTTTTCATAGCTCAGTGGGATGGGATTCTGGGGAGTTCTGCTGGTCTTGACAGTGATCACTTATGCAACTACAATCATTTGATGATTGACTAAAAGCTAGGGGGCCCAAGTTGGCCTCACTGACTTGTCTGGCAGTTGATGGTGAATGCCATTTGGGGAAATGAGGTATTTCCATGTTTCTCTTTCCTAAATGGGGTTAGCATGATGGTTTTAGTATTCCAACAGAGGGAAAGCATAAGTCACAAGGCTTCTTAAGGCCTAGGCTGTGAAATTAACACAAGGCCAGTGCTGCTGCATTATAGTTATTAAAAAGAGACACAATGCCAGTCCAGTTTTAAGGAGGGCATCTGAGATTCTTTTGACACTGAAACTAATAGGCAAAAAAGGGAATACTATACTGACTAGCGTGATTAATAGACACCATACAGGAAAAACTGGTCGCAAGGGGATATGGGGAATTCATGAGATTCCTTTGGACAGCTCTTCACTGTCATCTTCAGCATGGTAGACTAAACAATCCAAAAAAGCAGGACCAGTGTTGGAGGAAGAAAATTATGTATAATTACTGAGGAGGCCTTATGACCAGTTACAGAAGTAAGGATTTTGACAGCTCTGCATAATTGTTTTCTTTATTGTTATATATGACATAACCATTTTTCTTTTATTTTATGCAAACAGTCAGGGTGACAGTTAATTTTGACTTCTCAACCTAGCCATTATTTGTGTTAACGAATATCTTAGTAAAATGATGACTGAACTATAAGAGATACTGACATTACCAAGATTGATAATATTATATGTATATATAAATATATATTCAGCAACTGCAGACTACTGCAGAAATATATATATATATTTTTTTTTCCTGAGGATATCTTGTAACCTGTTAGGTGGAATCATGACCTTTTGATTGTTATTGTATTATGTATAAAGGTTAAAAATGGGAATGGATATATATATATATTGCATTATGTTTACATATATGTGTGTGTGTGTGTGTCTGTGTATATATCTCCAATATATGTTTAAATTGGATAGAAGTATAGATATGAATGCAAGTAGCCAAAGGTATTAATTGTGCTTTTGTACTGGTCCTTTTGCAGTCTGAACTGCTATGGCTGTGAGCCTGCAAGTTACATTTCCCAGACTCCCTTAAACACTTGCTTTCTGTTATGATCAGACAATGTGAGGTTCTGAAAGGTAATCTGTTTTTGTTTTTTCTTTTAAATTTTAAAAGAATTTTAAATCTTTTTTCTTTTAAATTTTCATAATGCTAATTAAAAAGAAAATAATTAAAAACACCTTTCTTGTTAGTTATTAGAGTAGCTTTAATTCTTAAAACAAGATCTAAAAGAGAGAAATCAGCATGTTCATGGTTGTTTCCTCTAGAGAAAGCAGTAGTATTTATGGCCAAAAAGTGACAGGGAAGTTTAGTCCACATAATTTTGTGTTGTTTGCACAGTTGAAGACTGAGAATTTATTCATGTGTTACTTCAGTAAAAAAGTAAAACCCAAAGGACTGCATGAAATGCATTTTAGAAAAAGGTCTGCTAGTCTTCACATAGCTGGCTGCAGTTATTACTAGAAACGGGAATAAGTGGGGAAAGTGTTAGTATTTCACTTTTGTCTCCATGTTTTTATATATATGCCAATTATTTGAATAATTTAAAATTTTAATGCAAAAGAGCAGTAATTTCTGTAAGATTTTGGATGGGACCAAAATGGGGGAGGGGACCCCATAAACTCAAAAACAGGCATTTCATAAAATTTTATGCTTGATTTTTTTTTCTTTTCTTTCTTTCTTTCTTTCTTTTTTTTTTTTTTGAGACAAGATTGTGCTCTGTTGCCCAGGATGAAGTGTGATCACAGCTCACTGCAGCTTCACTTCCAAAATGTGATTTTCCTGCCTTAGCCTTCTGAGTAGCTGGGATTACAGGCACGCCATGCCCAGCTAATTGTTTTATTTTTTATTTGTAGAGATGAGGTCTCCCTATGTTGCTCAGGCTGGTCTTGAACTCCTAGGCTCAAGCAATCCTCCTGCCTTAGCCTCCCAAAGTGTTGGGATTATAAGCATGAGTGACCCTGCCAGCTCTTATGTGTGATTTTTAATGGCTACAAATAATTTCATCCTGTGAATGTGCTACAATTTGTTTAACAAATCCCCAAAGGCATATTTAGGCTACTTCCCCATTTTTCACTATTATAAACAACATATTGATAAATGCCTTGCCCTTTATCCATAATTACTTAATTTAAGATATATTATTAGAAAAGATGATGCATCCATTTACGAGTTTTGATATTCACTAGCAGAAAGTTTGTAAGGAGACACCCTAATTTTGCACATCTGGTTGACAAAGGTGAACACATTTGAAAACATAGCTGGTTTGTAAATGTGAAAAACTGGGCATCTTGGACACATCAATGGATTGGTATTAATTTGGTAATACCAAGCACAACAAATTTTGGTCAGGCTCCTCTGAGCCTTCTTCTCAACCAAGCCTTGACCTTGGCCTGTGATAAAGTTTGGATCTGTGTCACCACCCAAATCGCATGTTGAACTATAATCCCCAGTGTTGGAGGTGGGGCCTAGTGGGCGGTGACTGGATTATGGGGGGCGGTTTCTCATGAATGGTTTAGTATCATCCTGTTGGTACTGTCCTTGTGATAGTGAGATCTGCTTGTTTAAAAATGTGTGGCTGCTCTCTCCTCTCTCTTGCTCTTGCTTTCACCATGCTGCCTCTTGCCTCTGGAAGGTAATTTGAAGGCTGTTAGAACTGAGAAGCTTTTAGTATAGACAGCAGTGGCAATTGCTGGTAGCTGCTGGAAATTGCTGGTGTTGCTATAGCTTGGATGAGATTAGGTGAATGAGAATTCCAGCAGTTCCATCAGTGGCTAGACTTCCTTAGTGTTGGTTTGGTAAGCAAGTACCGGCATAGCTCTGGTATCCATTTTTAGCAGTTTCAGCCCCTGAACAGCTGCCCTACTGCAGACCAGCAGTAGGCACTAGTTACTGGATTCTAGTCCAGTGGCATTTGTAGTTTTCTGGAAAACACACTTATTCTCTGTGTTCTGCTAACAATTCTCCCTTTTGTTACACCAGTCCTTCTAACAAACACTTTTTAATCAATTCCCTGTTTGATATCGCCTTTGAAAAGTTAGCATATTTCTATTTATTTATTTTCTAGGTTGTACCCTGAAGATACAATTTCTCAACCATAAAGCCATGTTTATTTCTATGAAAGAAAAGAACACTTTTATAATCAGTACACTTGTAGTTGACAAAATCAAGATTTTGTAATTTTAAGAATGCCAAAAAATACCCACAGAAAGTAAATTTATAATTTTTTCTATAGGCAGGCACAGGCAATATAAAGTTTTTTCTCAAGTACATGGTTTTAAAGAGAGTATTAGAATTCTCTATAGCAATGCTATAGACCTCAAAATGGGGTCTGTGAACCAGTGCCAGCCTACAGACTGTTACCAGTATTTTAGGCAATAGAGAGCTTATTCTAGAATGGAAATAAATACACTGTATCTTTGATAGAAAATGTCTTTCTACAAAAAAAAAAAAAACACATAATTAATCTACATATTTTTGTGAGCGCCTTACCTCCCATACCAGTTACAATCAATCAGTTCACAAACTAGTGCATAAACCACTATATAAAAAGGGATTATAGATTACAAGAATTAGACTAAAAGTAATTCCTCTGAAATATCAAAATGTAGCACATTAGGCAGGTTTTCTTTTAGATGCAATTTCTTTTAGGTCAATATGTATTTTATTTTTGGAAAAAAATATGTTCACAATGATATATGAAATAACAATCATATGAAAGTAAACTAATACCTAAAAGTTACAATGCTGATGTAAAGGGACCAGTCAATACACTAAGAACAGTCACATTCACTATTCTATAAGGAACAGAAATGACTTAGTAAAGAAGTTAGTTAGATTTTAAGGAAAGATTGAGAAAAATGGCATCTCCTTATAAGGATAATGAAAAACTGATTCTATAAGGATAATGAAAAACTGATTCCACAGAAAAGGAAACAAAAATATACAGAGCATTAAAAACAGAGAACAGGGCTATATACTTCCACCTTTCTGTGCTCAACACAGAATGGTGTAAATAAAATAATAAGGAGGAAAAAGAATGAAACACCTAATTTATGTGAGAGAAAAGTGGGAAAAAAAGTAGAAAATTTAGGGTCAGAGCGAATCTTCTTTATAGTGGATTGTGAAGCAATTAAAAGAAATCAGAATGATGTAAATAAATGATCATTTTTTCATCCTATTAGAGTGGAAGTCTTCTTTTCCAACATCCTATTGAAGTACCTGATGAAAAATGATAAAGGTTTATATTAGTTTCACATATGCAAATAATAACTTCAATATTATAGTACTCATAATTTCAACCAATATTCTTGAGCTCGTATTGGAATAATTTTTTGGAAAAAAAATAAATACAAATATACTTCATATAAGTTAAGTTGTTGGAAATTTAATATCAAGGTAGTGAATAAGCCAAATTTATCATCATATTTGATGTTTGTGTTGTCCCTTTGTACTCATGACTTCTTTTTCTCAAAATCTGTACCAGCTGCTGAGTACAGAAGAAGCCTGTGATTTTTAAATAATTGCAGCACATTCTATAGCTCAAACAAATAAAGCTTTGATTTAAGATTGTTTAATCTCAAAGAGATCAGTATAGAAAACAGATTAGAAACATGGATGAAGTAGAATTCAAAAAGAAAGAATCTCTATTCAGCTCCAAAGCTAAGCAATAGCATTTCTCAAAAGATGGCTTCATGATGTGAACTGGAATCAAAGAAATTACTACATTCCTTTGAATTTCAGTGAGCTTTTAAACCAGAGGGTGAGTGTATCAATAACTGTTCTTTGTGAAAGATTGAATATGAGCCAATGCTAATTTTATATCTCTACCCTCTCAGAAAACTCTAATGTTTAGAGTAAAAAGAAAATGAAACTTTCCTTATATTTTTAAATCAAAATCTATACTGGCAAAAATGTTTTATTGTTAAACCTATGTTTCACCACCAAGCCATCTTCATTCACAAGAATAACAACTACAATAATCACAGCAACAATTGTCAACATTTACTGGGTGCATACCATGTGCCGGGTACTCTTTTTAACTATTTTGCATATATTAATTTAATCCTCATAACAACACTGAACAATTGTCTCCATTTTACACAAAAGAGATAGAGCAATGGACATTAATCCTAGAAATTTCTGAGCTATAATCTTTTGGTAAGTTACTGCCAAAAATTCCGTTCTTCAGAATTAGAATGTTATGATATGTAACACATAATTCAATATGCCTCTAAAAGCCTTTCACACAATAGGGCTGTTAAACAATAAAAAAACTAAATCATAAAAAGAAGTATGTACGTTTTGAAAGTAATACCAGAAAATATTTTCTTCATATAATCTGGCCTTCCACAGATAAATAGATTTGTTATGTGCATGAAAATATAAAAAAGGCTTTCAATGACACTGTTAGACTAGAAATAGAAATTTAATATACATTATAAATAATAATTTAACCTATTCCCAGTGAAAAACCATTAAGTGGTGAAAATTACTTAAAAAAACACAAAGAAACATTCAAAGTCCCTGAAAATTGCCACAAGGGAATAGAGCAAACCAAGAAACGTTTAGTCATGGAAATTTACTAAATCTCTGTAAGAACAGCTAGTCTGTCAGACTTGAGTTACAGCCTAATCCTTCTGCCCCCACCCCTCCCCCTCAGCATGACAGACTTTCCACTAGGCAGGTGTGGACACCAAGACAGGAATTCTTTTTGTCCCAGCTCCCCATCAATGGCTACTATATGTCACCAGAAAAAGCAGATTGCCATCATTTTTCATCTCTTTGAGCTCTGTTTTGCAGAGGCTAAATTCCAAATGAGGTTAGCCAAGATATCTCAAGCCCCAATCTTCCACCTGGCACCCATCCTTAGAGCAGAGGCTCTAACTCCAGGCATCACAGACCAAGAACACTAATACCGCAATAGCCATTGACCCAACTCTGTCATAATATGGAAGTTCCACAGAGGAGAGGCAAGCTGGGAAGACGAGAGGATTATGCTGAAAACTCTGCTCATAAAACAGGTATGTAACTCCAAGAGGATCTGGTCATTGTCTTGATCATAACTCTGAAGCAATAAATCAGAATTTTTCCTTGGGGAAAGAATACAGGAACAGAATGCACTGCAGCTCACCCCAAAGGAACTGACTTTATTTAGGACAGAGAATGAGGAAGTTCAACCCTAAGTGTATGCTCCAACAAAATGGGATGCAAGGCTGGTTCAACATATGCAGTCAATAAATGTAGTCCATCACATAAACAGAACCAATCACAAAAACCACATGATTATCTCAATAGATGGAGAAAAGCCCTTTGACAAAATTCAACACCCCTTCATGCTAACAATTCTCAATAAACTAGGTATCGATGTAACGTATCTTAAAATAATAAGAGTTATTTATGACAAATCCACAGCCAATATCATACTGAATGGGCAAAAGCTGGAAGCATTCCCTTGGAAAACTGGCACAAGACAAGGATGCCCTCTCTCACCACTCCTATTCAACATAGTATTGGAAGTTCTGGCCAGGGCAATCGGGCAAGAGAAATAAATAAAAGGTATTCAAATAGGAAGAGAGGAAGTCAAATTGTCTCTGCAGATGACATGATTGTGTATTTAGAAAATCACATCATCTCAGCCCAAAATCTCCTTAAGCTGATAAGCAACTTCAGTAGAGTCTCAGGATACAAAATCAATGTGCAGAAATCACAAGCATTCCTATACACCAATAATAGACAAACAGAAAGCCAAATCATGAGTGAACTCCCATTCACAATTGCTACTAAGAGAATAAAATACCTAGGAATACAACTTACAAGGGATGTGAAGGACCTCTACAAGGAGAACTACAAACCACTGCTCAAAGAAGTAAGAGAGGAAACAAACAAATGGAAAAATATTCCATGCTCATGGATAGGAAGAATCAATATCTTGAAAATGGCCATACTGCTCAAAGTAATTTATAGATTCAATGCCATCTCCATCAAGCTACCAATGACTTTCTTCACAGAATTGGAAAAAACTACTTTAAACTTCATATGGAACCAAAAAAGAGCCCGCATAGCCAAGACAATCCTGGGCAAGAAGAACAAAGCTGGAGGCATCACGCTACCTGACTTCAAACTATACTACAAGGCTACAGAAACAAAACAGCTCAGTACTAGTACCAAAACAGATATATAGACCAACGGAACCGAGCAGAGGCCTCAGAAATAACACCACACATCTACAACCATCTGATCTTTGACAAACCTGACACAAAAAAGCAATGGGGAAAAGATTCCCTATTTAATAAACGTTATTGGATAAACTGGCTAGCCATATGCAGAAAACTGAAACTGGACACCTTCCTTACACCTTATGCAAAAATCAACTCAAGATGGATCAAAGACTTAAACATAAGACCTAGGACCATAAAAATCCTAGAAGAAAATCTGGGCCATACCATTCAGTTTGTAGGCATGGGCAAAGACTTCATTACTAAAGCACCAATTTTGGCAACAAAAGCCAAAATTGACAAATAGGGTCTAATTAAACTAAAGAACTTCTGCACAGCAAAAGAAACTATCAGCAGAGTGAACAGGCAACCTACAGAATGGGAGAAAATGTTTGCAATCTATCACCTGACAAAGGGCTAATATCCAGAATCTACAAAGAACTTAAACAAATTTATAAGAAAAAAAACATCAAAAATTGGGCAAAGGATATGAACAGACACTTCTCGAAAGTAAACATTTATGCAGCCAACAGACATATGAAAAAATGCTCATCATCACTGGTCATTAGAGAAATGCAAATTGAAACCACAATGAGATACCATCTCATGCCAGTTAGAATGGCCATCATTCAAGAGTCAGGAAACAACAGATGCTGGAGATGATATGGAGAAATAGGAATGCTTTTACACCGTTGGTAGGAGTGTAAACTAGTTCAACCATTCTGGAAGACAGTGTGGCGATTCCTCAAGGATCTAGAACTAGAAATACCATTTGATCCAGCAATCCCATTACTGGGTATATACCCAAAGGATTAGAAATCATTCTACTATAAAGACACATGCACACGTGTGTATATTGCAGCACTATTCACAATAGCAAAGACTTGGAACCTACCCAAATGTCCATCAATAATAGACTGGATAAAGAAAATGTGGCACATATACACAATAGAATACTATGTAGCCATAAAAAAGAATGAGTTCATGACTTTTGCAGGGACATGGATGAAGCTATAAACCATATTTTTAAGCAAACTTTCACAAGAACAGAAAACCAAAGACCACATGTTTCTCACTCATAAGTAGAAGTTGATCAGTGAGAACACATGGACATTGGGAGGGGAACATCACACACCAGGGCCTGTCAGGGAGTGGGGGGCTAGGGGAGGGATAACATTAGGAGAAATACCTAATGTAGGTTATGGGTTGATGGGTGCAACAAACCACCATAGCACGTATATACCTATGTAACAAAACTCCACGTTCTGCACATGCACCCCAGAACTTAAAGTACAATTAAAAAAAGAAGCAATAAAAACAATCTAAATATCTAAAAAAGAAAAAAGAATGAGGAGCAAATATGAATATATGGAAAGAATTTTGTGTAAGAGAACTTAATTTTTTTTAGATTTAAGATTTAAATACAGAAAATTGAAAACTAAAAACCATGATTTGGCAGTAATCCACAGCTGCTAGCATTGAGCACCATTGGTGGATACCACACTGCTTAGGCCAGCCACTGTGAGTGCATATTTGCTCCATTATTCTTTCCTCCACTCAGGCCAGATTCAGCATCCCAGCTCCCATGCTTATGCCCTAGGTGTCATATGGTGGGAATAGGGCATAAGTGGCTCCTCTCAGTGGACGTACTTGGAGTCTTGTCCTAAACTATGACTCACAGATATAGAAAGCAGGGGTGGATGCTGAGTAGGCAAATATGGGACAAACATCCATGGCAGAGTGAAATGGTTAGATGGTAACATGCCTTACTTGGCTGAAATCATGATTGAGAGATAATGTACAGCACCATCAATTCCTTCAATATTTAACTAATGGGAGAATTTACTGTGAGTTTGAATCCAAACAAAAACTATCTCCAGCCTAGGATCATTTAAAGTCACCATAAAAAAAACAGAATATTTGTATTTGAAAAAGATGTATTTGATTATGAAAATGAAGTTCACAAATTATTGAGAAAGATCAAGAGAGAGGAGCTGAAAGGTTTTACAGCTGTTCTTGCACTATCAGTGAAAGCAGATTGTATTTTGAATATTATGCTGGATGGGACAGTCTACTTAACTAGACAGTACTAAGGTTCTGATTAAAAGCACAGGCTGGGGATAAAGATATGTTGGCAAATGTGAGCACTGGGTCAAAACCTGTGAGACAAAGGATAAGAATAACAAAAGTGGAAGAAGAGGAATCTACAGAGAACCGCGAAAGATACTAGTTTCTAAATATCTTTACTGGACTAAATAATGTCACCTGCTACTTACTGACAAAGAATTGGAAGTTCATTTTTCTAATACCTCATGTAGTCTTTATGTTTTATTATGTAAAATTTAGTATTAGATTAAATTTATAGAAAATAAAAATAAGGGGAGCAGTATTTTGGATCTTAAATTAATTAATTAATTTGACAGCCTCATGTATCTCTACCTGTTGTAGACATCCTCATCTACCTCTACCTATTGCCCTGCCCTGGTGCCAATCATAACTAGAAAATATCAAAATGGGCATGGAGGATTCCAAGAACAGCGGGCTAGTGGCCTGCTTCCTCTGGCCTTGCCTGAGGGAGACAGCAGGATGCTAAGAGGAGGCTGCATCCACATGAGTGTCCTACTCATTACTGAGGGAGGAGGATAGCACTACATTAGCAGAAGGAACATCCCAGTTAGATTAACCCAAGAGAGACTCCCATGAGTAGTGAGTTGTCTAGATTGTGTCCAAAAATTCATGTGTGCCTTGTCAGTGCTGCAAAGAAGATGAAATGATAGCATCTGGGTTTCAGTGATATGTAGATACTTTTTAACTGAAAAAAAGGACCAAGACTACAGTGTTGTGTGCCAGTACAGTGATTCAAAAGGGCAACTGAGTCTGTTCACACCCCGGGTATTATCAATTTGATGATTGAACAACATCTGTTACTGCCGTAAAAATCACCTACATACTCAGACAAACTTTTGGAAAGGAATGAAAAAGTGAAGGAAAGCTGAAGGGCAAGGATGTAAAAAAGAACATGACTAAGAATTATCTAAAATAAAGAGCCATTTAAATTAGATTATTTATACTCAAGACTCTGATACCAGTAATTGGCAAATTTAAAATAAATATTTTTCTCTTATTTGTCCTAGTAATTAAAATGGAATATTTGAAGGAAAAGTTTAGTTCCATCATAGGAAATAAAGTATATTATTTTATTTGTACTTACTTATGAGCATAGATGCCATAAATTTGCCATGTCATTACATTTAAATGTTTTCATTCCTTAGTGCAGATTAAAAGATAATAAATCCTACTGTAGCTTTAGAAGGAATTAGATAAACCCTGTGGTTATTTCCAGATACCTGGACTGGGGATATCCTCTCTGATTATTGAAACCCCTAGCAGTGCTGAGCTGAATTTTCATACTTGCCAAGTCAAATTGTTTCTTTCTCCCATTCTGAAGAATCTTTTTTTTCAACCTCACAATATGCAGCACCTACAATAGCCTGATAATTCTCAGAGAAAAGATCCATTTGTAAGGAGCATCAGAATTCCAGATCTACCGAATTTATTGCATTTACATAAATGTTTGCCTTCCTCTCAAATACTAAAATGGCAACGCCTTTATCCTAAAATTATACATAAAATCATATTGAATCTCATTCACTTGGAATCTCATTACATCAAATTTCTCTTATTTCCTGTCACAAAAATGACCTTGCCATTAAGTTTCTCATGAATGTTTTAACATACTCAAGTATCTGTCATTTGCAAAGTAAAACCGCTTCCAAAAATTTAAATTAAAAAAAATAACATTTATACTGTAGTGACTATCTTCTCCCTTCACAGTAAAATTCTTTAAAAAAAAATCCTCCAGAAACAAAAAACAGTAAAACTGACTATGTTTCCTCTCATTCACCTCATTTACCCCTCAACAATGATAATCAACTTTCTGTTCTCACCACCAATAGCTGAAATTGCTTTCATCCAAACCATTGACAGCTTACGTGTTCTTAAATAAAATAGAAACTTTGACCTCTCTACAGCATTTGACATTATTTACATTGACTCTTTGGAAAGCTTCTCTCCCTCACTTTTTCTCCCTCTCTTATGACCTTTCAAGTTTTGGATTTCTCTATTCCTTTTGGCTCCTACTTTGCATTTTATTTTAAGTTTTTCATTGATCATCTCGCTCCATAAAGAGATTGTAACTATTTAGTATTAATGATGATGCAGAGGGGGAAGTGAGCAGTCACAAGCATTTCTTGTCAGACTTTAAAATTAGTTTAACTGTTTGGAAGGGCTATTTGGCAGTATTTATCAAGATGTAACATGAGTAAAGGTCATGAGTGAAGTATCTGGATATCTAGGGCATCTAGCAGTTTGAAATTTCTGGGCTACAACCATCAAACAGTAGTATTTTTCTTTACTACTTCTAATCACACTGCACTCAATTTCTTTTGCCAGCTGAGTAGCAGTCCCTTTCATTACAACCAGGACATGTCCAGAACTTTCCAGTTAATTACAGTTTAAATTTTATCTCAAATCTACATTTTTATATTACTCGATTGAACTATATTTTATGTACAATAAACTATATATGTCAAGTACATAATTGGGTAAGTTTTGGAATATGCGATACACTTGTGAAATAACTGCAATCAAGACAGTACACACTTCTTTCACTCCCCCGAATTTTCCATGTTCTTCTTTGCAATCAACCTGATCTTCCCATCACTCCTGTCCCCAGCCAATTACTGATCTACATAGGTCAGATTGCATTTTCTAGAAATTCTTGTAAATGCAATCATATATTATGTGTGCTTTCTGTATCCGACTTATTTCATTTAGCGTAATTATTTTGTGATTCATCCATGTTGTTACATGTGTTGATAATTCATTTTTTATTGCCAAGTAGTATTTCATTCTATGGAAAACATTTTGATACATTTATTTGTGGATAGATGTTTGGGCTATTTCCAGTTTTGAGCTTTTACAAATAATGTAGCTGTAAACATTTATCTACAAAAATTGATAGAGACATATGATTTCATCTCTCTTGGATAAATATGCCTGGGTTTCATATAAACATGTAATAAGCATATGTTTAAATTTTTATAAAATTGCCAAGCTGTTTTTCAAAGTAGCTGGGCTCTTTTACATTCCCACCAGCAATATATGAGAGTTCCAGTTGCTCTACATCTTTACCAACACTTGGCACAGGCAGACTTTTTCAGTATTCTATTGAACATACTTTGATTTTATGTTCTTACATTGATAGATGTTTGGGTTATCTCCAATTTTTTTGTTATTGTAAATGAAAGGCCTATAAACACGTTTCCAAATCTTTGTCATGACATATACTTTCATTTTGTTTTAACGTTGATAATTTTGGACTATGGCACTGTGGATAGTATGTTGTATTCAATCCAGGATCTTTTATATTCCTCTAAGTTGATGCTTTTGTTTTAGCTAATAATTCATCTTTTCAAGTCATTCTGTTAGCTCAGTCTCATCTTCTGTGGATGCTTGTTCGAATCTCCATCCTATTATTTAAGCCTTTGCTGAAGTGATTGATTTGAGTTCGTCCCCAATGATGTGGTTTATGGATCAATTTGAGATTGTGTGCATATGCAGAATCATGGGATCTCATCCTCCATTTTTTCTCTCCTGTGAGAATTCCCCTCACTTTCTGACAGCTGGCCATGGTTGTCCAGGATCCTTTTCCTTTTTTCTATGTCCAGAAAGTAAGTGAGGTTTTTAGCAAAATTAGCTGCCTGTGATGAGCTGCTCTGTGTCTGTGGTCAGCCTGCAGGGAAAAACTGCAAGAAAATGGGAAATTGACTACTTTTTTGTCATTTATCTAAGTTTGACTCCACTGAATCACTGAATACTTAGCTAGTTGTTTTTGTTTTGTTTTGTCTGGAGTTTGTAGTTGCTCTCAGTGGGAAAGATGATCTGAATGAGGGGTTATATTATCGCACTGAATGCCAGTATCTCAAATCCAATTATAAGACTATGTCCTACCCTTTCTCAGAACAGGTTAAAGTATGGCTTGAGGTACTCAGATGGTGGAGGGGCATTATCTACTCTTTAAGTCCCCTTTACATTCTTCTTTTCTGGTAATGGAGCAGGGTAGAGTACTGAAAAATACAAAATATTGATAAAATATTTGTATCTTATTGGCATTTACTTATCCCTCTTTACTGGTTACTTTCTTTCTTATCCTGGATGGTCCATTGGCATTTTTAAATCAACCACCGTTGACAAGTATGTTTGTCAGGGCAAACTCTTTTTACATCGTGGTTTATAAAGAAGGCTGGTGCTGGCAAGGAGTGGGCTTGAGGACCTGAATGTTTGCAGATGTACAGCTGTGAATGGGATGCTCATTTTCCCTTCCTCAGGCATCTTCAAATTCAGAGAATCCTTCTGGATTTTTGGACTTTTTTCTCCCTCAACGTGGATTAAATGTTGGACTTTTCTCACTCAACTTGGATTGAATGTTGTCATAGAGATCTAACAGCAAGTGAACTAATGCTGATTCAAAGACACCAAGAGAGGGGGCGAAATGGAAGGTGTGAAATCACAGAAACCAAGGGTAAGCAAAATCATATGAGCATACTCCCAATTTATGAAGGAAAAGTTTCAGTATTCTTTGGCAGGCTGACAACTCACAATTACAATGTTCTTTCTTTCTCCTCCTATTTAGTACTCATTCTAAGGAAGGATTGGGCCACCTCTAAATCATTTTAAGAGAAAGACTAGTCCCAGATTTCTATAGTATAGTTTTCCATAGATTGTGAATTTGTATCTAGGCATGAGAAAAGTCTCACTTGATATCATGCTACATTTCCAGGAATGAAAAACTGCAAATAAATAAGCCATCACTTGATATCCTGCTACATCTCCAGGAATAAAAAGCTGGAAATAAATAAGCCGTAAGTAGAGAAATGGTTAAACAAATTCCAGTGTTTCAATGCTATGAAATACTATTCAACAGTTAACAAGTCTGAGGAAGAAACATGTATACTTACATGGAAGAATAACTATATAACATAATTGGTAAAATAGCAATTTATGGAACAAATTGAGGAGTATGTTCTCATTTTTTGCAAAAATCATATGCACTTATATTCATGCATTTACCCTTCTTCTCCATTTACTTGCCAGAGATATTTGGGCAAGGTATTCAACCTCTCTATCTCTGTTATCTCATCTATGAAAGAAATATAAAAATTTTCACAAGACAGAATAATAATAAAACAATTGAAACATAAATGTTCTGACTTGTTATAATCAAGAATGAATGAGTATAATTACAATAATTTATCATGAAATAAACGACTACTCAAAAGCATTCTAGCCATTTGTGTTAGAATTGTCAGATGGGTTCTGAGTAAAAGAGATGTGTGTACATAATTGCAGCTAATGAGGCATTGTTTTAAAGCCACCTCCGCACCACCAGAGAAGTAAGAGAGAACTTTAGAGTCTCAATGGCTGCATGACTTCATGTGTAATGAAGTTATATAATTCTTTCCAGGTTGTATTCAGTTCTAGCTACCTAGTAATCATGTTCTCACCTCACCAGCAGGTGTTCAATGCCTAGAGCTCTATAGTTTCCTTTGCAGTGATTCAATTATTCTGTTTCTGCTTTTATGTCTACTGACAATTTCAGTGATCACCTACTCTCTCTCCCCTATTGCTCCCCCTTGTGGCTTTTGCTTACCCATGGTTTCTGTGGTTTCACAGCTTCCATTTTTACCCTCTCTTGGTTTCTTAAGTCTGTGTTAGTTCACTTCTGGTTAGATCTCTATGTCAACATTCAATCCTTGACCCTCAACAGACACAATTTAGTTCATTCAGTCACTAGGTAGTATAGAATCTTTGTTCACCTGTCAGAGCAGGTTTGGCTGCCCATACCAATGAGATGTGGCAATATCACATTGTGAAATACCAGGTAATTTATATATAAGAACTCCTTCCAAACAGAAAGTGGAAGTGACAGAGATTACGTGGTTTCTAGGGAGAACTCCCTTACCTGAACTTTTTTTTCCCTTGCATTACATGGGAAGAAGTGTCTTGTATGCCGGAAGGTCATTCTTGTGGCTGATGTGGAAAATTCATTCTGATAGTTCTGTAATTTTTATCAGCAAGACAATAAGAATTTTGAAAAATATAAATTGTTAATATTTAACTTAGCTTTAAACTGTTGATAAAGTTAAGTTCACTTCTTGTTAAATCTCTGACCCCCAACCAAGAGTTATAATTGTTCAGTCAGTATGTTAGTAGTACAGAATCTCTATTTTAATCCAAGAACTCTCCCATAACTCACAAATGTATTCCTATAATTAGCTGAATGACAATCTACTAGGCTAAATTTGGATTCAAATAAAAATTCTTGTAGTTTCCACATAAAACAAAATAAATTATTTTTAAGTAAATTTCTTAATTTTTAAAAATTTTACTTACAAAATCATCAGAGATTGGCTGAAGTTCAAATATTGCTAACATGCCTATTTTTATCACATTCAAATTTTAATTTTATCACATTCAAATTTTAAAGTTATTATTCCAAAATTATATTTTATGCCACCCTTGGTTTTTTAACATAGATAAATCTCTTAAACAAATGTCTTATTTTTTTAATTTAGTTTAAAAATAACCCTACATTTATTTTACCTGGCCAATTATTTTTACATTTTATTGTTAGAATATGCTCTTAACTATAATGATTGGTAATTCACAGTGCCAATATATCACAATATATTCCTGCTTATTTATAAGAATTCCAGGAAACGAAGTTTACTGAGAAGCAGTGCAAAGGTAAATTGATGCAAAAGTATTGCTTTCTTCATTTGGAGATCTCTGTTGATTTAGGGTTGGGTTATTTTCAAATACAAAAAAAAAATTATCATTCAATAAGACAGAGCTAAAAACTGTGTTATGCAGCCTGGGCATGCGCAATAGCAAAAGCTTTTACTTCTAACAACACCTGGAATAAATGATTCTTCCCCTCAGAGCCAAGAAGATTGATACATGACTGGAGCCTGAATGGTAGAACTTTTTCAGAAGTGAGGAGTCTGTTGGCCCAGAAGATCTGCGGTAAGATCTGCCTCAACATACCTTACTGTAAGTGGTCAAATTTGAAGCCCTCTAATCAGACCCTGCCAAGCCAACATTCCTAAATCCTTTCTCTTGACCTCTGATCTCTTAAAATGTGCCCCACACTTCAAATTGGGTACATATATTTAAGCTCAACATTAGCCTTTCAACTGGCTGTTTTTGCAATACAGCTTTTCTTGAAAGCCAGAACCATAGGTATTAATTTCTGTGAGCATTGGGCTATAAGCCTATTTGCTCTGTAACAGGAGCCTGCTATAAAAAGGTAAAAAAAAAAAAAAAAAAAAAAGTTCTACTACGCTCAACACAAAGTCATCTAATACGGCTTTAAGCTTGGAACTCTAACAAACATGAATGGAGAAAACAAGACAGTAGAGATCATCGAGGAGGTTTTTATGGGACAGATTGCCTACATTCTGTTACCCACGCCTTACTCCCACAGCTGTATCTACCTGTTAAAGAGGCTCAAAAATGTAATTTTGTTCCAGATTAGAAGAAAAGAGAAATAGCTTACATTTCCATTTCATTCTCCCAGCTATACTTAAAAACCACTCATTTCCTTCCCAAGTGAGCCAATGCAGAGAACCAGTAGTAGTCACTGGCCCAGCTCAGTCAATGCTCAGGAATTTCGGATTGTAGACATATCCTCTTTAACAGGTCAAGGCATGGCTCCACGCAGCCCAGCAATTACGAACTAGAAAGAAGTTATCTGATCCCCATATACAAAACCCAATAATACTATTCGATTATTTAAATATTTCCACTTTGGATGAATATTTAGCAACGTGGAGAAATGCTCATGACCTCATAAGCAACAATGAGTAACAACAAATGATATATATAACCCTACCTAAAATATTAATTCAATTGTGTTTGTATTAAAGGAGAGAAAAAGAATGAAAAATAAGTAACATTTGTATTTGGATAGTAATTTTTGTGGTTTTCTTTATGCAATTGGATACTAAATGTGAATTTTCTTCTTTGTTCAGCATTTTTTTCAAAGAGACTCTAGAGTCTAAAATGAACAACCAATCAATTCTACAAACATTGCATCATGAGGAGTTGCTGCACCTCTTCTCCAGGATTTGCAAAACGTGTAGTCCAAATCGAGTTCGGCTAGAACTGGTCTGTCATCAAGATATGGCTCATGAAAGAGATTGGTGTTTAGGAGGCTGGGAAAAGGAAATATTTTGAGAGACTTCATGTGCTCCGCACATGGAGGTGGCTTCCTTTTGCCTCAGGTGAAGGGAGCTTCAACAAGATCACTCAGAGTTTGATCAATGATCTTAGAATTTGCAGAACATAGGGACTGCCATTTGACTCACCCTTTAGAAGTCAGGAGGAAAGGTTACGTGGCTGGCACTTCTCATGTCTGGGAAGGAACAACTGTGAAGTGCTGACCTAGACGAATGTTGCACTTCCGCTGATGAGTAGGCAATGGCGAATGTTTTCCAGGGTCCAAATGTGGACCCGGCAACAGAGAGGCTGTCTGTAATCACTTTATAAGAGACACTAACAACAATGACCACTGGGACTAAAGAGAGCACAACGGAAGTAGTTCTGCCAGAAGGGCTGAGGAGAGGGCTGAGCAACCACCCTCAGGGGAGGCAGACCCACATCAAAGACATCTCAGCAGTCCCTTTCCCATGAAAGAAAGAGCTAGAAATTGTCCATTTGACACACACACAAACCAGATCCCAGATTGCAATTGATTCAGATAATGAAAAGCTTGTTCTTTTCACTTGCTGTTCTAGCCTAACCATGTAGGTGTCAGAAGCAGTTGTAGGCTAGGAGAGAAGTCGGAGCAATACAGAAGCCAGTTCTGCCTTTGCCTCAAGATCCACTGTCCACTCAGAGGCAGGCTGGCACATGGGGGATGAGAACATTCCAAGAAAGATGTGAATCTGGAATTTTCATTTATGCAGTAGATGGGGATTTACTACTGAAAGGAACATGTTTTGGCAACTAATAGTGACCAAAAGAATTTGTACTTACTAAAAATTATCTTAAAAGCATGGGATTACCCTAGCATTTTGTTTCAGAAACTGAAATTAACAGAAAACTATAAAATTACTTTCTGCCTGAAACCTAAGAAGGTGAACTCATGCCAGAAACCAGTTACATTCACAATTACCTGGATTTTGTTATTTCCTACAATGAATAAAACTTATTATAAAGCAGAAAAGCCATCGCTGTTTGTGTACATGTTTGTGCGTGTGTGCACATGCATGTGTGTATCAGACGTGTATCAGTGTAACCACCTGATGTCAAGACAAATGATCAATTCTGACAATTCAGTACCAAATGTCAAACTAGATGTTTGGCATGAGGTAGGTATAAACAAACAACTTCAGCATTGACTGAATTTTTAACATTTCAACCAGTTATCTGAATGTCATGGAGATCAAAATATGGAATGTGGTGACCTAAAATCTTTAGCCAAAAGGTTGAGCTTTGCAGAAGCTTGCATTTTATGCATTATAGATTAATTTGCTAACTAACTAAACAATTTTGCCCTGCTTAGCCTTTTAGTCATTCATAGGAATCTCACCGGGTGCAGATAAAAAGTTCACAACAATTAGTTTTCAACTAATATTTTAGCACACTATAGCACAATGATTATTTTGCAATAATCAGCACCAAGATTAGAATACATAATTTATCCAAAGCTACAAATTAACTATCTCACATTTTTTTTCTCCCAACAAAATATACAGTAATCCTGAATTCCCTATTGAACTACTTAAAAGTTCTGCAATTATACCAACAGAGGCGAAGGAAAAAGTATCAACATCTATGCATACTTTTGCTGTGTAGTAAGAGCTGTTTTTATTCCCTAACCTTTGTCTCATACTTCACAGCAAATATGTGAAAATACTACCATTAATAAGCTTCTTGGATCTTTCTTTATTTGCTTTAACTTTTTTCTTTTATCTCTCTCTTTCAATACACATTTTTCTGAACACCTGGTAAATGTGTGGTATCTTTTAGGTGATAAGGATACATAAATAAAGGCAAAGTTATGAAAAATGCTGGACATCACTAATCATTAGAGAATTGCAAATCAAAACCACAATGAGATACCATCTCATAACAGTTAGAATGACTGCTACTAAAAAGTCAAAAAATAGCAGATGCTGGCAAGGTTGCAGAGAAAAGGGAACCCTTATACATTGCTGGTGGGACTGTAAATTAGTCCAGCTGCCCTGAAAAGGAGTGTGACAATTATTTCTCAAAGAACCTGAAACGGAAATATCATTTGACCCAGCAATCACATTACAGGATATATACCCAAAAGAATACCCAAAAGAATATATATTGCTCTGCCATAAAGGCACATGCATGCATATGTCCGTTGTAGTACTATTCACAACAGCAAAGACATGGAATCAACCTAAATACCCATCAATGGTAGACTAGATTTAAAAAAAAGTGTTTATATATATATATATATATATATATATATATATATATACCATAGACTACTACACCACCAGAAAAAAAGAATGAGATCATGTTCTTTGCTGTAACATGGATGGAACTGGAGGCCATTATCTCAAGGAAACAAATGCAGAAACAGAAAATCAAATATCTCATGTTCTTACTTATAAGTGGAAGCCAAACAAGAAAACATGGACACAAAGATCAGAACAATAGACAACAAGGCCTACTTGAGGGTGGAGGTGGGTAAGAGGGAGAGGGTTAGAAAAATACCTACTGGATACCATTCTTACTATCTGAATGATGGAATAATCTGTACATCAAACCCCTAGGACACGCAGTTTACCTATATGACAAACCTGCACATACACCTCTGAACCTAATCCAAAAGTTATAATGAAGAAAAGAAAAAGAAATGCAGAGTTGGCTCCTCTCACAAAATATCCATAGTCTTAGAAGGAAAAAAAGGAATAAAGAAAGACTTGAAACCAGTTATAATTCAAGCTAATATATGCTAAAATGGGGGCACATATAAGTTTGTATCTATCAAAATAAGAACAAGCTCTTCATGTTTTCTAGGAAAATTTAGGATGGTTTTATAAGGTAGGTTATGTACTGACCCCACATCTTACCCCTTTTGAATAGGTATAATCAAATTGCTCCCAATTGTGGGAAAAGCCAGACTTTTATTTATTTTTTTATTTTCTCATTATTTACATAGTCAAACATTTACTTAGTTGTCTACTCCACATTTATTCATTCTGAATAATACTCTGAATATTATTTAGTTGTATGCTAAGGGGTTGCCCAGAGTTTACTTTTAACTCGAGGCTAGACTAAGATAATAATCTGGATTTGTATAGTCGGTTTCAATATTAATGGGTCCTTGAAATTTTTCTTGAAAGAATAGTTAACATTTGAACAACTGAATTGGAAGCTATGAACATGGTTTTGTTTTAAAAGAGCTTAAAATGTTTCAACCTCCTTAATTAAACTTAACTTTAGACACAATTATTGATAATAGTTCTTTAGTATAATACTTCACATGCATTTAACAATTCGTTTCTTTTCCTTCACAGATGGAGGAATTAAATCCCAAGCATCTTCTAACTAGGGCTAGCCATTTTGAGAAACAGTGTTTTTATTTTTGTTTAATTTGCATTCAGTTTATGAGATATACTTCTTGTCACTGCTGTTAATCATTTTTATTAAGAAAATGCAGCAAAATGCACAAATAATTATACAGATACTGTTTTTTAGATAAACATGTTGACAGATTGGAACTAAACTTTTTGCTGGCAGGCAGTGTTGGTATATGTGAGGAAATCAGTTTGCCCCCTCCGGATGGGTGCTGTATTTAGATTGGCATAAAATTATTTCTTCTAGTCAGGAGAAAAATTTCATTATCTTACATTTACTAGTTGTAGTAAGACATAGAAAGTTGAATTTAAAGTAGAATTTATCCCCCAAAACAAAGAAAAAATTATGTACATTCAGATGATTTTTACTGCATAAAATAAGGAATAATGAGGTTAACAAAAAGTTCGTGTGTTAGAAAATAACTATTTTCGTCACTCCAACATCATATGATCTTAGAATATTTCTTGTTAATGTAATAGCAGATAATAAAAAAATTAAGCAGAAAATTTCTGTAACTTTAGAATTCACTTAACAGACATTAATTCAGTGAATGCTATATAGGGATTGCGCTGAACAACAAGAACATTTCTCTGTCCTCATTCTCAAAGAAATTTCAGAGTATTGAGAGACACAGTCAAGTGCTAGGATTATGCATTCTTTGCCATAAGAACAAATGGAGAAACTTCTCACAGTGGCTGAGATGAAAAGGGGCAGAGGTTTTCACAGAGGCCTATCTAATGATATTTATTTAACTAAACTAAATTTACTGCCCACAAGCAGTATATGAGAGTGACAATTTCCCCACACCATTGTATATTATTGAGAAATAATTTTCTGTTTTGGGAAACTTCCCAAGACAGTAAATATTTATTGAGCTCTTACTGGAGAAAATAAATGTAATAAATAATAATATAAATTGTAATAAAGGAATATGGGCCACAGTATTTGCTCTCAATTTCAAAGTCTATTAAGAAATTAGAGATAATTATCCCAAAAGTTAAATAATTATACAAAAGGAAGCTAATGCAATATAAATAATGAGAAGGACTGTGGCAGCTTTTAGGTGACAAAAATTTACAGAAAATGAAGACCTTATGAACAAACAGATGACAAAACTTCAGAAAGAAAAGCCCTATCTGCAAAAATATGATGGGTGTGGCTGTAATATATGGGACATACATTGATAAGGTCATAGGAAAGATGGAGGAAAGCCAGTAGGACACCATGGTATTAAGTGTATATGAAGCATATTAAGATACCTAAAGGAAATGTGCCTCTTCAGAACACTGCATTCATTTTCAAATTCAATCCATAAATATCAATAGAGCATGTTACTATGTGCCAGGCACTTGGGACAGAGAGAGCACAGAGCGAATGATTGCAGCCCTTGATATTTAGAACCTAAATATTTTCCTACAAAGAAATTCGACACAAAATATATATGCAACAGAATTATTCAGTGCCCTTTCACAGGTTCAAATTAAAATAATCTACATATGTGCATCTACACATGTACATATATGTATATATTTACATTATATATGCTTTGTATATATGTAAATTGTGTATCGATAAGTAGATGAATGAATACAATGAGGCTAATATTAAATAATGTATTTATCAACCAATCATTAAATAATTATGCTATACCAAGTACTGTACCAGTTACTTTACATATGATACTTTATTTGTAGTTTCTACGACTATAAGAAATAACATTGTTAGAGTGATTTTATTAACAAGGCTATCATTATACTCCTGCTATCAAGAAGAATGAAAAAAATCACTTGAATGATATTGTCTACTTTTCTGTATATTGAAATGAATGTTTTGTTGATAACTAAAATCTTAATTTTTTTCACAGAAAATGCTTTCAGAATATGCTCAGAACAATTTAAATTTCATAAAGATGTAGATGAGTTCTTACAATACTGAAGTTTGTCATACTGCCATATTTCATGTGCATCTGAGTTGGAATTTAGAAATTATAACATCAAATTATATTCTTTAATTAATTGGGATATAAAATAATTTTAGAAGTTAAAATACTTAAAAATCAACAAATTCAAGTAATATAACCTATTTGGATTCTTTTTATTAAAATTTGGTCCAGTTTCAAATAATTTGTAACAACTATTCCTAACAGACATTCTGTGATTTAGTTAGGTATTTTCTGAACTTTGATAGTTTACAGTTTGGTGTTAGGCATGGGTCACTGCCCTCACTATTACTATTAGGCAGAAGTGTGGTGAAATTTGATTATTTAACAGCAGCACCAGAAGGAACAGTTATGAGAAGATTCCTGAAGTCATGTCTCCTTTATTTTCACTCCTGAAAATATAAATGTGTTTTTTAAATTGATATTAAAACCACTGAAATTACTTTTCTGCCTTTCTTTTCACTCTTCCCTTTTCTCTCCTTTTCTGAGACAATAATAATTCTTGTTCATTTCATCATGCCCATCATTCTTACTGCCTAGCTCTTTTTCCTTCATTATCAACTTATCTTCAAGTTGTATTACAATCACTTCCAAACATGTCTACCTCTCCATATTTTCAAACAGAAACAAAACAGTATCAATGACTATACATTTTCTCCTATCTAAATTTTGTACTATCTGTCATCATGACAGTTTCAAATCCCTCCTATGCTACCCTTTTGTATTCTCTCCTTGATCCTTTCCTGAAAAGATCCTTTCCTGGAAAGATAATTCTCACATGTACTGTCGTTTTTATTCTAAGCCTTTATTTGGTAAACAATTCTAAAGAAGATGAATTGTCTGAAAAAATTGTTTTCAATTATTTAAAATCTAATGCCTTTCTCTTCAGAAGCACTTTAGATATTCTATTCCTGAAGACAGGAGGTATTTTACGTGATTGATTTTTCTATCAAGAGCGTTCAATGCTGTGAAATTTAGTATAAAAATAAAATTAGCTAGCTCTCTGCTATTCATTAATCAGAATCAAATTCATTCTTTGAGGAAGATACAAGTTTTTTTTTTTTATTATTTGGGCTGGCTGAATACCTGACTGCTTTAAAAACATTTTGAATAAATGAAACCTGTAACTTCAATGGGAAGTGATAGCCATATAAACCTTACTCTGTCACAGTTAGCATTTAGCTTTGTTCTGCAATGCTATGAACCAGCACTATCTCTCCAGCTCCCTTTTTTCCTATCTCTCTCTTTCTCTCTTCCCCTCCCCTCTTATTACTTCCTTAGTTCCCATGAACATTTTTTTTTCTGATAGCAAAAGCAAAGGATCTCAATTTAGAAGTAAGGTATTTTCTATTCAAGTCAAGAGAAAATTTTGTAAATATCTGAATGGCACATTGGCAACACTTTTAGAATTCATGGTAAGCATTTTATTGAATTTAACAATCTTGGAGTGCCAAGGGGTAGCCTTTTAAAAGTCTCTGACTAGGGAAGTTTGAGATTCAGTGAGAATATTCACAGCAACTTAAGTGCATAAATTTTCTAACTGGAAAGAATTTTAGAGAACTGCTATAATAATCACGTTAGAGATGAGATACTGGAGGGGCAGGAGGGAGGGGTAACTCCCTCGTTATCTCACTCACCAGTGTCAACATCTACTGGCAAGCAAGACCTGGTTTTGTGTCCATACACAGAAGGGAAAGGTTTACACAGCCTCTGTCTATCACAGATACTCCTGTTCTTCAGGTCACAGTTCTTCCATGCACAGAAGCTACTCAGTGAAGAGGTTCCAGAAACGTACTCTGAGCACCTTGATTTTCAAACTTGTCCTACATTCTGGGTTAAGTATACATAAAAGAGGGCACTGTACTGGCAACTCTTTGGCTTCTATAAAATCTCCAGTATGAAGCAGCTAAAGGAAATTAGCTTATTTATGGAAACTATGAAGATTTTAAAATAGTGATTCATCAGCTGTTCTTATAATCAACCAGATAATAAATTTTACAAAATCTTTACTTAAAAATAAATGCCAAATTAACTGCAGTTGGATAGATGTGCACATACCTTCACTGAAATGAAGTCAGATATCAGTATATTAAACGAAGTTTTTGGATTTGAATCCTGCTCTGTCACTTAAGATCTGGGTGAACTTGGGCAAGCAAAACTCTCTAACTCAATCTTCTTAGCTTTAAAATAAGGATAATAAATGTGCCTTTATCTTTGTGGCGTTGTGAGGATAAAACAAGTCAATACATATTGAACTCCTTGAATAGATTCTGAAACTTATTAAGGCTTCAAAGATGGAGTTCTTAATGATTGAATGTCATATTAAAAGTATCCTTATTGTACATGCCTTGTCACGTATGGTCTCACAGTCATTCCAGTCAATGCTCTGCTTACTCCATTTTTCTTGCAGTCCCAGGATAGAGATAAGTATATAAGAAATTTGAGCATCTGTAAATTTTGCTATCTTCAAGCAGTCCTGGAGCCAATCCTCTCAAGGAACCCAAAGGATGATTGTATGCTAATATATCTAAATTCTTATATAAACATGTACAATATTTTTTCTTTTGGGAGATGAAACCCTTAAGAAATGAGTAATCCACATGTTCTAGGAATGCCCACAGAGAGGCCTAACACTTGATATGAGAGAGCTTGTTTTAACCATGTAAATATTTCATGTGGCATAAAAGTTACTAGTTACTTCTACAGTCACCTAAAGTTAAATCTGCTGCTTTATTTCATGTTCCCCATAGGCATGCCCTTGGCAAACACCACAAGTCTAGTAATTCCAGAAGAAATTATCTCTAAGGAAGAATTATAATACTGTATGTTAAGACTCAAATACTTTCTCTAGCTAAAATCATGTTTGATATTTGGTTATGAGAATGTGCTATGTGCTACAATGAATTGATCAGAACAGAAGAAAGGAGAAACAAGCTAAGAGAGCAAGAATAAAAGAAGTAATTAAGAATATTAATTATTCTCTAGAGCACACTCTCAAAAACCTAGACATTTAGACATGGTCTCCAATTGTCCCAAAGAATCCAAACTGCAACGTGTGTGTGTGTGCATGCACACCCTGTGTGTGTATTCCACTTAGAGAACTAGTTTCTTACCTCTCATTCATCATTATCACCACCAAAGACAGAGAGGGAGAGGAAGAGGGAGATTAGGTGAGATTTGTTGCCAGACTTATTCTGAAAGTAGCTTGGTGATAACTTCACAGGTACTAGTACCAACAAAATATTAGTAATACGAATTTGCATGTTTAATATTGCTCTTTATTTTTTGTATCTTTTGGAATGACTGCCTGAGATTGCAACTGTTTTTCTTGCAGGACATAGAATTCACTTTTCCTTATAAAGAATGGATCAACAAAATTAAGTAAATATCAACAAATTGCTTCTTAAAAAGTTTGTTATTTTACCTTCCAACTAGTATAAGACTTTACCTGTCTCATTCAATCTTTAAATATTAATATCGTTGTTAATTATTTCTAATTTGACAGTTAAGATATTTCATTTTTGTGTTGTTGTGTTTATTTTACTACTACCTTGGGCACGTTTTTATAATTTTATTAATCCTATATATTTCCTCCTTTGTGAATTTTTTACGGTCTTTGTCTATTAATAGTGGGTTTTGACTTATTTTTATTTTTTTTGGAGACAGGGTCTCGCTCTGTTGCCCAGGCTGGAGTGCTGTGGTGCAATCTCAGCTCACTGCAATCTCCACTTTCCATGTTCAAGTGATTCTCATGCCTCAGCCTCCCAATTAGTTGGCACTACAGGTGCCCGCCACCACACCTGGCTAATTTTTGTATTTTTATTAGAGACAGGGTTTCACCATGTTTGCCAGGCTGGTCTTGAACTCCTGACCTCAAGTGATCCTCCCGCCTTGGCCTTCCAAAGGGCTGGGATTACAGCCTGAGTCACAATGCCTGGCCTGACATTTTCTTTTGAATGTTCATTTGCTATAGATACTATCGTATTTCCTTATTTTTTAATAGTTAATTTTTTTTCAGCTGTAGTTTTAACTTTTTGATATTTAGATAAAATTGTAATGTGTTGAGGTAAAATCTATTAACTTTTTTATATTTTATTATTATTATTATTATTATTATTATTATTATTATTATTTTTGATACAGGGTTTCACTTTTGTCACCCAGACTGGAGTGCAGTGGCGGGATCTCGGTGCACTGCAACCTCTGCCTCCCCAGGCTCAGGTGATTCTTTCACCTCAGCCTCCTGAGTAGCTGGGACTACAGCCATGCACCACCATGCCCGGCTAATTTCCTGTATTTTTAATAGAGACAGGGTTTCACTATGTTGTCCAGGCTGTCTCAAACTCCTGAGCTCAAGTGATCTGCCTGCCTTGCCCTCCTAAAGTGCTGGGATTACAGGTGTGAGCTACCGTGCTCAACCCTATTTTATTACTTTTATGCGCAGAAAGTGATTTTCATCCAGAGATGAGGCAAATTTTCACCTGCATTTTCATCTAGCTTGTTTATTTTCACATTTAAGCACTTCAGAGCAATTACGTTTCTTGAACGTAGGAGAAATAGACATATTAATTTATTGCTGATACCATAATTTCTCAATATATTTTATCGTACAAATCAAAATTTCACCATTCTATCATAATATTTATTAAATATCAAATGTGAAATCACAGAAGAAAAGTCATGTGCACCCAGCAGTCAAGTCAAATACCACCAGGAGAAGGCTATCATGTTGCCTCCCAAGACTCTTCCTAGAAAGGCTATTCCATGATAAATTTACTCTAATACAGGGACTGGCTTTCTGACTGCCATAGTCTGAATCATGATTTGTCAATACATCAGAAATAGACTTTTCTAGTTTACACTCCCACCAACAGTGTCGCTTCTCCACAACCTCGCCAGCATCTTTTATTTTTTTCACTTTTAATAATAGGCATTCTGATGGTGTTAGATGTTATCTCATTGTGGTTTTGATTTGTATTTCTCTACTAATCAGTGATACTGCTCTTTTTTTCTCATATGATTGTTGGCCACATGAATGTCTTCTTCAGCCATTGTGGAAGACAGTGTGGTGATTCCTCAGTGACCAAAAGACAGAAATACTATTTGACCCAGTAATCCCATTACAGGTATATACCCAAAGGAATATAAATCATTCTATCATAAAGACACATGCATGCACATATTTATTGCAGCACTACTCACAATAGCAAAGACATGGAATCAACCTACATGCCCATCAATTATGGACTGGAAAAGAAATTGCGGTACATATATATCATGGAATACTATGCAGCCGTAAAAAATGAATGAGATAATGTCCTTTCAGGAACACAGATGGAGCTGGAGGCCATTATCCTTAGCAAACTAATGCAGGAACAGAAAGCCAAATACCACATGTTCTCAATTATAAGTGAGAACTCTTACTTTTAATGACAAAAACTGCAATTGCTTTTGCACCAACCTAATAAATGATGAGAACTCATGGACACGTAGAGGGAAAAAACAAACATGGTAGCCTATCGGAAAGTGGAAGGTAGCAGGAGGGAAAGGATCAGAATAATAACTAATGGGCACTAGGCTTAATACCTGAGTGATGAAATAATCTGTACAACAAACTCCCATGATACCTATGTAACAAACCTGCACTTGTACCCTTCAACTTAAAAGTTTTTAAAAAAGAAAGAGTCCAGAAATAAACAACTCACAAGTTTCCAAAACAAAATAAAGAAAATAATATATGTATATTGTATAAATATACAAACATTAAATATTGTACACAATAAAATAAGAAAATTCCAACACACCCTTCTCTCTTGCCAAACTCAGTGTATATTCTAGAGGTAGCCAGTTTTTGGTACTTTCTCTCTCTCTGATTTTTTATTCCTGTCACACACACACAAACCCACAAATACATGTGTATGCACATACAGACACACACAGGCACATAGACACACAAACACATCTACCTTGGAAATTTAAAAATCAATATTATAATTTTAAAAATATATAAATTAATTAAAAAACAAAACACTAAGTGCAAATGTACAAAACATATAAAAGTGTATTTGCTACAATTTTTCAGCAGATAATATATCTCATCTACCCCTAATTCACCAAGTTTTTTGTTTTGCCTGTCTTTTTTTCTTAAATTAAGAAGAGTTGTTGCATTTGGTAAAATATTTTTTATGTTCATGAGGTGAATTACATTGATAAATTTATGTGATGGTGAATGACATTATATTCACGGTATTTGTACTACTTTATCCTGATATATAAATTCTAGTACTCTGCTTCATTTTGTCTGAAAATATTTTGTATTCAAATTTTTAACTGAAAAAATGTTTGCAAATTTCTTGTATTTTTTCCAATTTTGGTATAAAAATAAGTTAGATATCTTTCCCATTTTATGTGAAATATTTCATGTAAAATAGAAACTAACTTCCTCTTGGATTAGTAAACATACCAATAAAAAGTGTCCTTTATAAAACTGTTTTACTACAGATTCAATTTATTTAATGGCTATATTTTATTTGTTTGCTATAAATTCATGAGTTAAAATTATTAATATATTCCTATAAAACTATAAGTTACATTTCAGTCTTTGAATGTATTGGCATGCAATTTATCCTGGTTATTGTTTTACATATATTTCAATTTCTACTACATTACAGTTTTGTTTCCTTTTTTATTCCTAATTTTATGTTTTTTTAATTCCCTGTGATTTTTATTACTAGACATTTGTGTAATATTTTATTTTTATTATTTTGGAAAGAACAAGCACCAAAAATTAACCTCTGTTTTTGGATCAATTTAAGCAATATTTCGTTTTATCAACATTAATTGCATTATTAAATTTACTTTTAATTTGTTTTAGTGTACATTACTTTTTTTAAATTGCCGTTAATTTTCCAAATGTATTTTTGATAGTATTTGTTGGTATATATTTACCTATAATTTCTATCAGTTTGACAAGATTTCTCCTAAATACTAGTTTAATTGGTATTACTGTTGCTGAACTTAATAAATTTTTATATATATTTTTCTGAAATTTCATATTTTCAGTCCTTCTGGGATCTTTTTACTTACAGAAATGTCTCTTTAAATAAAGAATAAATATTAAGAACTTTATTAGTGATAAAGTACAGTCAAAAGAATAAGGCTGAAGACAAGTAAAAAGTGAGTGATAAATGAATTGGTAAGTAATGGCTCAATCTTAGTGAGGCAAACTGATATATTTTTTAGATACTTTAAAAAGTTAGTGTATACAAAATCACAGAGTTCATTTTTAACTTTAAAAGTATAAATACTTCAAGAACGAAAAAGAATGCAGTCTTAGATGCTCCTGACGTACCTACTATGCACCAACCATGTTCAATTATTCTTTAAATTTTCTGCAAGGAATATGGAATTATCATAAATTATCAGGCCACCATCTTACCATTCTCCTAATTTCTATCCAAATTGTTAAATCAGAAAGCAGATCACTGAAAACAAATTCAAAAAGAAAACAAATCTAGTAAGGGAAGTATCATAATTGCACAAGAACACTATAGGTAGAAAATGCAAAACTCAAATGAAAGAAAAAAATTGCTTTAAGTAAGAAACTCATTCATTTCCCAAACATTTACTTACAGAAACTGTAAATATAGGACTAATGTGGTACTTAATAACGTTCACCTAACAAAAGAATTTAAGCATAAATTATAAAGAATAATGACCAGATATTCTACATTCAGAAAAAAAAAAAGACTAGTTTCATCTGAAGCAGAAAATCTTTATTACGTTGTATAATAATGATCTTCGCTTAGGACATTTTAAGGCATTAGAATAAGTTACAAAGAGAATTCACAATGGAAAATTGGAAAAAATATAAATTATAGTTTAATATGAGTCATCACGGTTTGCAAATATCTATTCAGCATAGAATTCAAAATGCAATGCTTATAGAAACATTATAATCTTGCATAAGAGATTCAATGCCATCCCCATCAAGCTACCAATGACTTTCTTCACAGAATTGGAAAAAACTACTTTAAAGTTCATATAGAACCAAAAAAGAGCCCACATCACCAAGTCAATCCTAAGCCAAAAGAACAAAGCTGGAGGCATCACACTACCTGACTTCAAACTATACTACAAGGCTACAGTAACCAAAACAGCATGGTACTGGTACCAAAACAGAGATATAGACCAACGGAACAGAACAGAGCCCTCAGAAATAATGCCACATATTTACAACTATCTGATCTTTGACAAACCTGACAAAAACAAGCAATGGGGAAAGGATTCCCTATTTAATAAATGGTGCTGGGAAAACTGGCTAGCCATATGTAGAAAGCTGAAACTGGATCCCTTCCTTACACCTTATACAAAAATCAATTCAAGATGGATTAAAGACTTAAATGTTAGACCTAAAACCATAAAAACCCTAGAAGAAAACCTAAGCAATACCATTCAGGACATAGGCATGGGCAAGGACTTCATGTCTAAAACACCAAAAGCAATGGCAACAAAAGCCAAAATTGACAAATGGGGTCTAATTAAAGAGCTTCTGCACAGCGAAAGAAACTACCATCAGAGTGAACAGGCAATCTACAGAATGGGAGAAAATTTTTGCAATCTACTCATCTGACAAAGGGCTAATATCCAGAATCTACAATGAACTCAAACAAATTTACAAGAAAAAAACAAACAACCCCATCAAAAAGTGAGCAAAGGATATGAACAGACACTTCTCAAGAGAAGACATTTATGCAGCCAAAAAACACATGAAAAAATGCTCATCATCACTGGCCATCAGAGAAATGCAAATCAAAACCACAATGAGATACCATCTCACACCAGTTAGAATGGCAATCATTAAAAAGTCAGGAAACAACAGGTGCTAGAGAGGATGTGGAGAAATAGGAACACTTTTACACTGTTGGTGGGACTGTAAACTAGTTCAACCATTGTGGAAGTCAGTGTGGCGATTCCTCAGGGATCTAGAACTAGAAATACCATTTGACCCAGCCATCCCATTACTGGGTACATACCCAAAGGATTATAAATCATGCTGCTATAAAGACATATGCACACGTATGTTTATAGCAGCACTATTCACAATAGCAAAGACTTGGAACCAACCTAAATGTCCAACAACGATAGACTGGATTAAGAAAATGTGGCACATATACACCATGGAATACTATGCAGCCATAAAAAATGATGAGTTCATGTCCTTTGTAGGGACATGGATGAAACTGGCAACCATCATTCTCAGCAAACTATCGCAAGGACAAAAAACCAAACACTGCATGTTCTCACTTATAGGTGGGAATTGAACAATGAGAACAAATGGACACAGAAAGGGGAACATCACACACCGGGGACTGTTGTGGGGTGGGGGGAGGGGGGAGGGATAGCATTAGGAGATATAACTAATGCTAAATGATGAGTTAATGGGTGCAGCACACCAACATGGCACATGTATACATATGTAACAAACCTGCATGTTATGCACATGTACCCTAAAACTTAAAGTATAATAATAAAATTTTTTAAAAAACCATTAAAAAATAAGAACTTCATAAAAATTATGCATAGCTTAAGAAATGTTGAATATGGAAAGCTCTGTTCTCATGGATGAAAATTTTAAAAGGTAATAAATGGAAAATCCTAAAAATACTTAGTAAAATAAAATTACATTAGAAGTAAAAAAAAAGAATTCTAAATACTCAATATAATCCCTTTTGTAAGTATGAATAAAATATAAATACTATAAGACTTAAAGCTTATGGAATCCTTTCTCTTTACCTTATTAAAAGTCAAGAATCTCTCTGTAGAATAGTTTTAGGTGGCAGAAATGGTTTTCCTACCATTATATTCCTATTATGTGTGCATCTGTTTCACAGTATTTTTTATAAAAATACTCACTGTGATGGCCACAGAGAACCAGCATAGTTGATTGACAAGCATTATGGGTATCTGTGGCTAAGCTAGTAAGCAAAATAAATCCAGACGTGAATAAACCTATTTATTCTTCAGTAAATGAAATAACTCAAAGGTGAAATCTTTAACATTATAATTCACATGCTGCTCAGATGTCTTTCTACTTTGTGTTTTTGCCTTGGTACTGGACTTTATAGTAACATTGCGATTGAATGTGTTTGCATTACAAACGGGGTTATACTAGCTAGCCAAGTGGAGTCAGCCATTCATACATTGTCATTGCATCAATCTTCCAATCAAGCAACAGACAATCTGTCTCCCACTGTTCCAAGAACCATGCTAGATGTCTTATTAGTCTTAACATTCCATTTCTCTCTCTCAGAACTGCATGTGCTCTCCAATTGTGTTATAGTCTCCTATACCTTGTCTTGATTTGCTGTCAGTTGCTTTGCTAGATAATTGAGGAGTTGCATACAGTATTTGGATATCAAATCTGGAAGAGCATGGAAGCCATAGTTTCGTTAAAATGTAAACATGATTAGATTTTTAGCAAATGTGTTTGGAACTACTAATTAGTTAGTTTAATGTTTTAATATCGAATAAAATGAGGTTGGAGCCTTGAGTCAAGAAGATTCTATTTGCCTGATCTAAATCAAATACTTTCTTTGGTTTTCATTTAATAATTCCATTACAACTAACCTCAAATGTCTTGTAGTTACTTTTCTGTAATCATTCTCTATGTGGTCTTAATTTTTTATATCAATAATACTATAATTGGTGGTAAGCTAGTGTGATAACTTCCCTAAATATACATCAGATAATACAAAGACTGTTAGGAAAATGACTATTCCTTTGAAGTATGAGATAATCTTGTTGGCTTATTCATAATTAAATTGCCAGTCAAAAAATAAATTAGTCATGGGCAAGTCTTATTAGTATTAAATAGCAACATAGAGAAAAATATACATGATAGTTCAAATACTTTCTACATTAAAAAATAAAAGGTAAATTATCGTTGTTGACTTAGGTCTCCTCATTCAACTCCCAGCTTAGAGTGCCTAATCTTTAGCTCTTCAAATAATTTGGGATTGCGTTGTATAATCACATATAGAAAGGTCATTGCAAAGTCTTTATTCCTTTACAATATTTACTTGAATTCTGCCCTATGAAAGAGTTATCATCAACTTGGATTTTAAAGAAATGGAAAACATTTTGGAAAGAGTAAGCACAGTATAGGTACTTACTGGGCTAAAGAGGATCATTTAGATATGTTGATGTAATGGACTGCAAACTGAACAGCATTTACTGCTTGCAGCACTTTTCCTTTTACACATGTCATCACCAGCTTGAAATTTTATATAAAAACAAGATTGTTCCATCAAGATCAATTGTTTCTGCATTAAGAAAATAGAAACATTTTAAAAGAAGAATAGAGCAACATAAAAATACTATAATAAGGATTAAAAAACAGAGGAAAAGCAAGATTTGAAATCAGCTTGTCTTACAAAGCAATAACAATGCATACTTACAAAGCTAGAATGATGGTAATTATTTTGAGGGAAAGAATAACCTCTATTTCTGGAGGTGAAAACCATTACAGATTTACATATTAGTTTAGTTTGACCTCTAAGAATCTGTTTTTACAGAGCTGACTTTGTAAATTTACTCAGGTTCATGTATTCCTCATTTACCGTATTTCACAATTATACTTAAAGTTTAAGTATAAATAGAGCTCCAGGGTCAATTCAGGGTGAGATGAAAATCGAGCTAATGAAAATGATTACTTCAGCAGAGTTTAGTTTGTATATTGTTTATTCTTTTCTGAATCAGGAGGTACTGTGGCAGAGTCCTAGTCAGCAAAATTTGGGCTCTGCAATGGTAAAACTTTCCCTTGTATCTTACCACACATTCCAAAGTTTGATTCAAATGGGGCTGAGCTAATTTTCTTAGAAGGCAATTTCTACATGTAAGAAAGCCATATGAATTCAAACATCAGTCTTTGGTTATGTTCACCTTGCCATTAGAAAAATCTATTTGGAGTCTATGTTTCCGCTACAGTGGCATAGCATAATATATTGTCTACTATTCATAAATTAATCATAATTCATGAGATTACATAATCATAGAAAAGAAAATGAAAGTAGAAGAGCTAAAATAATTTATTTCAACAATCTTAAAATTTTATTTGAACTCTGATCCTTATATAAGCCCAAGGATATGATTATTCATTATGGTAAATGTAACAATCACCACTTCACTTCTATAATTCTTGTTCTACAATATCCAATAGCCATTAAACATGACTATGTGACAATATCAAAATATTTTTGCATTGATTATTTAGTCCAACCATTCTGTTTTGTAAAGGAAGGACCTGAAAACCAGAAGAACTGATTTTCCTAGTGTCACACATGTAATCCTGATGTTAAAATATGATAAGAACCTGTGTCTCTTGATTTCTAGATGAAAATTCATTTCCCTGTTGTCTCTCAACAGTGTTTTGAGTTCTTAGTATGCTTGTAGATTTGACATTTGAATTTTTCGCCGGGTAACACAAATAAGAAATTCTTTAAAAACAATAAAGTGAATTCTTGGTCTTCGAGCTAATTAAGTCTATGACAGATAGCCAGATAGCCAGATAGTTGATCAGAAAAAAACATCTGTAAGGCTAACATTGCTCGAAAATATAATGTTTGATTGAAGGCCCATTAGGTTTTGTGCCTGTGATTTCACTTCATAGTTAAAAATGTTATTTGATAATAATTGATAAACTACAAAAATATATCTGTGTATAATTTTCCCAAATTTTATATTTTCTCATATAATTCATATGCAAACATATTCTTAGAAATTTTAAAACAAAATAGTAAATAAATGTATAGGATGTTCCTCTGTGCCAGAAAATTTAAAAATATATATTAGCCATATATCCAAAAGCTGCCCCAGTGACAACAGAATTCCCTTTTCTTTTCAAATTAGAAGCACAACAGCACCAATAACATAGTGAAGAAGTACAGCCCCGGCAAGCCAGAGGCTGTAACTTTACTATTGGTTCTGTGATACTCCAGAAGTAATTCCCCACGTCTTTCTGGATTTTTTTCTGTATTTTCGTACAATTGTGACTTGTTGCTGAAATAAGGGAGCAATAGGGCAAACAATACTGCTCTGTTACCCCATCAGATACATATTGCCATACTGTTTACCCCAGACTAGAAAAAAATATGAAAACAGAAAGCTGAATATACATTGTTTAGAAGTTCTAACTTATAAATATATTGAGTGTATATATAGTACATATGTATATATACACTATATATATACATGTTTATATATGTATATATATACACACACATATATATAAACATATAAAAAGAGATATTGCAGACAAGAAGTGCAATGAAGCCTGAAAATTTCCTAGGCTCGGGGTTAAAAAGGTGAATGTCAATTAAATCAATAGATTTTGGCATTATTTTATTTGGAAGAGATCAATGCCTCTTCAAAACAGATATGTTCTATATGGAAATAGTGTTAACTCTGTTTAGATAAATACTAGTATTTGTAGCACCTGGACATAAAAAAAAATTTTTACTATCCAACAAAGTTTTGGGGCTCACAGCTCATGGCTTCCCAGGGCAGGTACTTCTTTCTTATACTATACATTTTCAACATCGTCACCCCAAAATAATCATCACTTGAAATTTTCTGAAAGTAGAAAGAAAGGCTTTTATAACTACTATACTCCAAATGAATATCTATGATTTTTATAGGATCTGTCTATAGTCACAGATTGATTTTTTGCCCCAAAATTCAAAAATCTCTGAACAGTGATGCCTAGAGACAAGTCTTTTTGGCATGATAATTTTTAAGAATAATATAATACCTGTTGAAAGTAGTAAGGCAAGACTTTATTATATATACTGTCTGGAAAGGGTAAGGGGATAGCGAGAGTTTGGTTAATAAATGTAAAATTACAGCTAGATTGGAGGAATAAGTTCTAGCATTTGATAGCACTGTAGAGTGACTATAGTTAACAGTAACTTAGTGTATATTTTCAAATAGCTAGAAAAGAGGATTTTGATTTTTTTCAACATAAAGAAATAATAAATGTTTGAGGTAATGGATATACTAATTACCTTGGTTTGATCATTACACATTGTATACATATATTGAAATATCACACTGTAACCCATTAATATGTATGATTATGTGGCAATTAAACATGTTTAAGATGTTCAACACTTTATGAATCAAATGAGATAGAGCGGTTTCACATATTGGCAAGGAAAAACACAGCCAAGCACAAATCCATAACTGAAGGTAAGCAAAGTGGTTTGAGGCAAGTCTATAAAGCATTGCATGGTAATACACCGATTCTCTAGGCTGGATGTTTGTTCTTTTTTTCAATGCCACCTTTAATATCCACTTTTTTGTTTTTCTTTTCATCCTTTCCCATTCACTAGAACAAGTTGCCTTCATGCACTGGTTATAAAAGTTCCTTATTTCTATATATCTTTCCAGGTTCACACAATGCCTGCTATAAGGTCATAAATCTTCCCTCAACGAATAAAATCATTTGGATAAAACTGGATCTGGTGGATATAAATGGGTAAGAATAATGAGATCATTCAACAAATGGCCTTGATATAAGACCATTTCAAATGGAGATAAATAACTTTTCCAATATGCCAATATTCCAGTTCTCCAATAAAGACATTTCTGAATACCAGCAATAGTACATTATAATGAAAAAAAATCTTGGCCATAATTCTACATAAATACAAAATAGAAGAACATTATGTAAGGCCTGAATGAAGAAAATAAAAATTTATTAATATAAAAACCTTGAGTCAATGAAGAAGCAAATCGTGTTTGTGAATGATATGGCCTGAAGGTCTAAACATTTCAGTTTTTCTAATATTTATGTAATTCATTTAACTACAGTAATAATCTTTTTTTTTTTTTCTTTTTTTTTTGAGACGGAGTCTCACTCTGTCACCCAGGCTGGAGTGCAGTGATGCGATCTCGGCTCACTGCAAGCTTCGCCTCCCGGGTTCATGACATTCTTCTGCCTCAGCCTCCCGAGTAGCTGGGCCTACAGGCACCCGCCACCACGCCCGGCTAATTTTTTGTATTTTTAATAGAGACGGGGTTTCACCGTGTTAGCGAGGATGGTCTCAATCTCCTGACCTCGTGATCTGCCCGCCTCGGCCTCCAGAAGTGCTGGGATTACAAGTGTGAACCACCGCGCCTGGCCTTACAATAATAATTTAAAGATGTCCCTTTTGAAAATTTAAAAACACAAGTACTTCTGAAATTATTGCTGAATAAGAAAGAGGCAAAAATAACTAAATAGTTTTGAATAGAAGAGTAAAAATTAAAATTTTCTGTAGATATTAAAATATATTCAACTACTGTCATAGTTAAAGGAGAGTGGAACTGATGAGAATTAGCAGGCAGAATAAAACAAACAAAAAGAGTAAACAGAAACACTGTTATCCTTATCTTGAAGTTAACGTGAGCTATAGTCCTAAGAATTTAGGAATATGAATGTTGCTCTCAGAGACTGAATTGTGAAATCAACACATTAATGCATTATGCATTAAAAATCACCGTAAAGAAATCATATAATTGTGTACATTTTAAAGCATCAGTAGCCTAATTTTAAAAAATCATTTTTAAAACTAACTCAGCAAGTCATACTCTCCCCAGCAATCTTCATTTGTTATTCTAAACTATGTGCCACTCTGCCTTATAGAAACAGTATGCACCGATCCCAGACACTGAGTGTGTGGTCATCATGGCGGTATTGATTCTCATTGTAAATTAATCCGTTGCCTTAGATACATCATTGCTAAGAGAAAAACCTATTTTTTTTAACTTTTATTTTAAGTTCAGGGATACAAAGGCAGGCTAGTCACACAGGTAAACATGTGTCATGGGGGTTTGTTGTATAGATTATTTCATCACCCAGGTGTTAAGCCTACCATCCATTAGTTATTTTTCCTGATCCTCTTCCACTTCCCAGTTTCTAGCTTCCACCTTCCAATAGGCCCTAGTGTTTGCTGTTCCCCTCTATGTGTGCATGTGTTCTCATCATTTAGCTCCCCCTTATAATTGAGAACATGTGGTATTTGGTTTTCTGTTCCTGCATTAGTTTGCTAAGGATTATGGCCTCCAGCTCTATCCATGTACCTAAATAGACATAATATCATTCTTTTTTATGGCTGCATAGTATTTCATGACATATATATATACTGCATTTATTTATCCAGTCTATAATTGATGGGCATTTAGTTGATTCTATGTCTTTGCTACTGTGACTAGTGTTGCAATGAACACACACATGCATGTGTCTCTATAACAGAATGATTGATATTCCTTACAACCTATGTACATTATTTTTATTTTAAAAATAAAGTCTTAATTTAAAATATGACAATACACTGAATTCAATTTTTATCTTATTTTTTATATCTAATTGATTATAAGACTTTTAATGTCTTTATGCACATCTACATTTGTAAAATGAAAATACCTAAGGTTAAATTATTAAAATGCAGGGGAGATATTTAAAAAATTATTTAAGTATTTAAGGAAAAGGTCATGCATTGTATCTTCTACAGAGTCTGGTAAGTAGTTTTTATTCTATGAGTTGTGTGGGGTATTTTTGGTACACTACATGAAATATAACTTATGATCATTGATATCATGAGACTTCGAAACGAATGTTTTAAGTAACTGTGGATAATATCTTTATGTAGAGCTTTGACAATCTAAAAATGGTGTGAAAATGTTGAAGTAAAAAAATTGCAAAAAATATGTTAAGGCCTTAGTATTTAATTTGGATTGATAGAGTATACTTATAATTAAGTATCAATTTTTTGTTAAAAATAATTGTGCTAAAATTTATAAAATTAAATATATTTCTATATAATATATGGACTATAAAAATAATCAAAGTTTAGTAAAAATTCAGAATTGAAAAATTTAAAAGGACTGATTAACAAATCAATTTTTAGATTACCTAATACCATGACTGATACACAGTAAATATTTATTAAATGTTAATTTAAAAATAAAAATAATGACTAGTATTTACTAAATGCCCATTCTATGCCTAGAACTGATAATTATAACACATGTATTATCTTATTGTCCCAACACAAATTTAGGAATTAGCAATATGGACCAATAGTCCCTGCCTAGGCTACCATCTAGTAGTGATCAATTTAACTTTTAATCAGAATTGTCACACTGGCACTCCAAGAAAGCTTTGCAAATTCTGTTACAGAGACAAAGTTATATTGCTTAATGCTTATTTAGAAAATAGCATGAAATCCTAAATTTTAATGGCATTTTAAACTATTTCTGCACATTTTAATATTTTCTCTTTTGAGAAGTTGTGTTAATGAATCTGACCACTATGAAAATATATCCACTGGGCGGGGTGGCTCACGCCTGTAATCCCAGCACTTTGGGAGGCCAAGGCGGGTGGATCACAAGGTCAGGAGTTCGAGACCAGCTTGGCCACTATGGTGAATCCCCGTCTCTACTAAAAATACAAAAAGTAGCCAGGCGTGGTGGCAGACGCCTGTAGTCCCAGCTACTAAGGAGGCTGAGGCAGGAGAGTTGCTTGAACCGGGGAGGCAGAGGTTGCAGTGAGACGTCAAGCCTGGGAGACAGAGCGAGATTCTGTCTCAAAAAAAAAAAGAAAAGAAAATATGTCAAATTTTGTGGACAATGAGGAAAGTAATTTGAAAATGTTGCTTGCTATTTTTGAAAGAAAATATTATTTTTATTAAAGTATTATGTAATTATCACCTAGAATTAAACATGGTTCAATTCAATGGTCATTATATTACAGAAGATTGAAATAATTTTCTTTTATAGATAGGTGAGAGTAAAAAGAAGGGAAAAATTTGAAATACCTATTCAGATAAATAAGCAAAAAAAGAAGTTAAAACTGCCTGTTTACACAGAAAACTCTCAGTGTTCTCAAACCATGATTCCTGAGTGCAAACCTGTTGGTATTTGGAAGTTTGGGCAACACACATACAACTTGTTTATAAATGGTTTCTATAGCACAACCCACATACCATCCAAAACCTCCATGCACTTGGAATTGAGGAAGAGATCTCATGAGACTTCACACTCAATTACAGAGTACTCTGAAGGGTGCATTTATGCTGGTTTTCTCTATTAATTATAGCAAGTGTCACCATGGACAGCTTACAGCAGTTAATTGAATTTGACAGGTGAACTTGAGAGCCCTTTTCACTGAATGCAGTAGGGAGTTGGGAAAGGAAAAGGGCTACCCAAAACGGAAACAGAAGACTCTGAAATAACAAAATAGTAATGAAATCAGCATTAGGTAGTTTGGGAATCTTTATTTCCAAAAAGAGAGAATGATCAGACAATCAGTGAGATGCCATTTCATTATTTTTATATTCTATTAGACTGTCCTATTTGCTTCTATTTTATACATTTCTGTACTGAGATGTATAATTTTAGAGACTTTGATGTTATTTTACTAACTGCACAAAATTAAAATATATTGCTCTTCCATCCTTCCTATTGGACACATCCAAAAGCCATAGGCACGCAATTTTAAGTTCAAAATTAATTTCATTTTTTTACTCACCTCACTTTAAAATTGTCTCCTGCTTCTGTATTCCTGATGCTTGTCAAAACATTAAAAAAGAACAATCGATCTAATTACAAATCTCATCTTTGACATGGTTTTCTTTCACGAGCCTTTCACTAACACTATTCAGTAATTCCCATTGCTTCTATTGCTAAGTATCTCTAGAATCCATTCTAAACTCATTGCCATTTCTCTAATTCAGACCCTCATTATATTAGCTTATTTAATAATAATGTATTTTTCTGAAATCCTCTCATTCTATATTCCTGTTTTCATTTTCATATCCTCTGTGTGTTCCTGCCTTGAGTCCATCCTTTATAACATTCTTAATGTGAATTATTTTCTAAAATGCAAATTTGATTATGTTATTTCTATCTCTAGGAAAGTGATAGACAAATCATTATATTCAGTTTAATTAATTAAATTTGAAATTTAAATAGATACATATAGGTACATATAAGCTACTGTATTGAACAGTACAGTTCAAGGAGGATCCTCTAAAAATGCAAAATAAAATATAAACATTAAACTTGAATCTTAAAAGAAGCATTCCACTTACCCAAGGTAAAGCAGAAAAAGAGAAACAGAGGAATGCAAAGTATACAGAGATAAATACTAAACAAATAACAGAATGGTGGAAACAAATCCAACAATATCAACAACTATATTTAATGTAAATGGGCTAAACATGCTACTAAATATTAGATGTTTTGAGACCGGATTTTTAAAAAAGAGCTCAACAGTTATATGGTGACTATAATCCATGTACTTTAAAGATAAAGTCTTAGGTGGAAAGTAAAATGATGAATAAAAGATATATAATGTAAACAATAATCACATGAAAGCTGGACTGTTTCAACAAAAACAAGTGAATTTTCAAGACAGGAAGATAATTAGAGATAAAGAAAACAATTTTATAAAGAGTAATTTTAAAAAAAGAAGACACAATAACCATAAATGTGCATACTCCCAATAGCAATAGCAAAGCTTCAAAATACGTTGAGAACACCAACAGAACTGATACGATACATAGACAATCTGTGGTCATACCTAGATATTTTAATACCCATATTTTAGTAATTAATAGAATAGAAAATAAAATTAATAAGTTTATAGTTTTGAATAATACCATCACACACCTTGGCCTAATAAATATTTTAAATTTTTTTAAATAAATATTTTTAAAGTGACACATAATTGTGAATATTGATGGGGTACAATGTGATATTTTGATACATGTATACAATGAGTAATGATCAAATTAGGGTAATTAGCATACCTGTCACCTCAAAACTTTGTGTTGGGAACATCCAAAATCCTCTCTTCTAGCTATTTGAAAAAATAAAATAATTATTGTGTACTATATTCACTCTACAGTGCTATAGAACACTTGAACTATTCCTCCAACTTAGCTATAATTTTGTATCCATAACCTTCCTAAACACTCTTCTCAGCCACTAGTAACCACTATTCTGCTCTCTACTTCTATGAGATCAACTTTTAAGTTTCTACGTAGGACTGAGAACATGTGGTATTGATCTTTCCATGCTTGACTTATTTCACTGAACATAATGTTCTCCAGGCCCATCCATGTTGCTGCAAATGACAAGACTTCATGCTTTTTATGGCTGAATGGTATATATGCCACATTTTTTAATCCATTCATGTGTTGATGAACACTAGGTTGACTGCATATCTTGGCTATTGTGGATAGTGCTGTAATAAACATGGGAGTGCAGATATCTCTTTGACAAACAAATTTCTTTTCCTTGGCATATATACCCAATAATAGGATTGGAGGATCATATGGCAATTCTATTTTTATCTTTTTGAGGAACATCCATACAAATTTGTATTCCCATCTATCATGTATAAGAGTTCCTTTTTCTCTGCATCGTCATCACCATTTTTTTAAACTAATAGCCATTCTAACCAGAGTGAGATGATATCTCATTGTGGTTTTGGTTTGTTTTCTTTCAATAATTAGTGATGTTAAACATGTTTTCATGTAGTTGGCCATTTGTATGTTTTCCTCTGAGAAACGTCTACTGAGATCATTTGAACGTTTTTGATCAATTTTTATTTTTACTTTTTTGCTGTTGAGTTGTTTGAGTTACCTATATGGGATATTAATCAATTATTAGATGAATAGTTGCAAATATTTTCTCCCATCCTTCAGGTTGTCTCTTAGCTCTATTGATTGTTTCTTTTGTTCTGTAGAACATTTTTAATTTGATATAATCCCACTATTTTTGCTTTTGTTACCTGTGGTTTTGAGGTCTTAACCATAAAATCCTTGCTAAGATCAATATTTTAAAGCAGTTCACTTATGTTTTATTCTAGTAGTTCCATAGTTTCCAAGTCTTTCTTTTAGGTATTTAATTTATTTTGAATTGGTTTTGTGTATGGTAAGAAATGGAGGAATAGATTTGTTCTTCTGCATATGGATATCCAGGTTTCCCAACACCATTTATCCAAGAGACTGTCCTTTCCCCAATGTTTTTGGCACCTTTATTGAATAGCAGCTGGCTATAAAATGTGGAAGTGTTTCTGGGTTCTCTATTCTGTTCCATTGGTCTACACTTCTGTTTTCATGCCAATGTCATGCTGTTTTGACTACTATAGCTTTGTAGCATAATTTGAAGTCAGGTAATGTGATGCCTCTAACTATGTTTTGTTTTTTTTTTTTTTTTTTTTTTTCTCAATATTGCTTTGGCTACTTAGGGTATTTTCTGGTTCCATATAAATTTTAGGATTTTTTTTTTCTATTTCAGTGAAGAATATCTTTGGTATTTTTACAGGGATTGCATTGAATCTGTAGATCATCTTGGGCAGTATGGTCATTTTAACAAAATTTATCCATCCAGTCCATAAACATAGGATATCTTTCTATTTTTGTGTGTGTGCGCTCTTCAACTTTTAAAATCAATATTTTAGAGTTTTCATTGTAGAGATCTCTCATCTCCTTGGAAAATTTCTTCCTACATTTTTTATTTATTTTGTTGCTATTATAAATGGCATTGCTTTCCTGATACTTTTGTCCACTGGTTCATTGTTGGTATATAGAAATGGTACTGATTTTTATACATTGATTTCACATCCTGCAAATTTACTGAATTCATTTGTTGGACCCAAGAGATTTTTGATGGCTCCTTTAGATTTTTCTGTTATATGATCATGTCATCTGCAAACAGAGACAATTTACTTTCTTTTTTCCAATTTCAATATGTTCTATTTCTTTCTCTTTCCTGATTGCTCTGGTTGGGACTTTCAGTATTATGTTGAATAAGAGTTGTAAAAGTGGTCATCCTTGTTTTGTTCTAGTTCTTAGAGCAAAAGCTTTCAACTTTTCCCCATTCATTATGATGTTGGCTGTGAACTTGTCATACATGGCCTTTATTGCATTTAGGTATGTTTCTTCTAAAGCTAATTTGTTGAGTGTTTTTATCATCAAGAAATGCTGAATTTTATCAAATGGTTTTTCTGCATCTATTGAAAGGATTACATGATTTTTATTCCTTATTCTGTTGGTATGATATATCACATTATTGATTCATGTATACTGGATCATTCTTGCATCCCTAGGAAAGTCCAACTTGATCATGGTGTATAATCTTTTTTATGTGCTTATGGATTTACTTTGTTGGTATTTTCTTGAGGATATTTGCACCCTATATTCATCAGAAATACTGACTTCTAGGTTTTTTCTCATTGTTATTGTTGTTGCTATTGGAGTGTCCTTTCCTGGTTTTGGTATAGGGATAATGCTTGTCACATAGAATGAGTTAGGAAGAATTCTCCATCCTTCAATATTTTGAAATAATTTCAAAAATATTATTAATTTTTCTCTAAATGTTAGGTAGAATTTGCCAATAATGTCATCTTGTCCCAGGCTTTTCTTTGTTAGAATGCTCTTTTCTTTTTTACTGATTCAATCTTATTAGTCATTACCGGTCTGTTCAAGTTGTCTATTTCCTCCAGGTTCAATCTTGGTAGGATGTATGTGTCCAGAAATTTATAAATTCCATCTAGGTTTTCCATTTTTATTTAGCATATAGTTGTTCATAATCATCTGTAATGATCCCTTGCAGTTCTGTGGTATCTGCTGTAACGTCTCATATTTCATTTTAGGTTTTATTTATTTGGTTTTTCTTTCTTTATTCTTTCCTTAGGTAGTCTAATAGCTTGTTGATTTTATTTATCTTTTCAAAAGACAAATTTATTTGATTATATTATTTTTGTCTTTATGTTACTTATTTCAGCTCTTTTATTATTTATTTCCTTTTACTAATTTGCAGTTGGGTTTGTTTTCACTTTTCTAGTGTATTGAGTTGCATCGTCAGGTTGTTTAAAACCTCTCTAAATTTTTGATGTAGGTCCTTATTGGTATAAACCTCACTCTTAATACTACTTTTGTTGTATTCCATAGGTTTTAGCATGTTGTATTTCTGTTTTTATTTGTTTCAATAAATTTATTTACTTCCTTAATAATTTCTTCCTTGACACATTGTTGTTTAGGAGAGGTTGTTTAATTTTTATGTATTTGTGCAGTATTCAAAGTTTTTGTTATTGATTTCTAGGTTTATTTTATTATGGTCCCAAAAATACTTGATATATTTTAATTTTTCTTAAATTTATTAATACTTTATTTTTTTGGGCTAGTATGTGGTTTATCCTGAGAGACGTTCCAGGCACCAATGAGAAGAATGTGTATTCTGCTATTGCTGGATGGAATGTTCTGTACATGTTTTTTAGGTCCTTTTTTTATACTGCAGATTAAATCTTATGTTTTTTGTTGGTTTTCTGCTTAGATGATCTGTCGAATCCTGAGAGAAATCTTCTGTGAGAAGATTCTTCTAATGGGCACACCCGCGTATGCAACTTGATGCTATTCTTTAAGATTTTTAGAATTCCCTGTCTTTGACTTTTCAGTTTGACTATAATGTGCCTCAGAAAGGATCATTTTAGTTTGAAACTATATGGAATCTTTGGCTTCCTGAATTTAGTTGTCCATATGTCTTCCAAGACTTGTGAAGTTTTCAGATATTATATCATTAAATAGGTTTTCCAAGCCTTTTCCCATCTCTTGTCTTGAAACTCTCTTAATTAAAAAACTTTTTCACTTAATGGTGTCCCATAGTCCAACAGACTTTCTTTATTCTATTGTATTCTTTTTTATATATGACTGGATTATTTTAAAGAATTTTATTCATTGAGTTCTTCAGCTTCAAGATTTCAGTTTGGTTCTTTTTTAATATCTATCTCATTTTGAATTGTTAATTCAGATGATAAGTTGTTTTCCAGAATTTGTTAAATTGTTCATCTGCATACTCTTATATTTTTCTGAGTTTTCTTAATACTATTATTTTGAATTCCTTTTCAGGCAATTCATAAATTTCCATTTCTTCCCAAAGAAGAACTGGTATAATTCTCAGTTAACAGAGAATTATTGTGCTTCTTTAGTGGTGTCATGCTTCCTTGCATTTTTATGTTTCTTGTATCCATATATTTGGCAGAATAGTCATATCTTCCAATTTTGTAGAGTAGTTTTTGTGGGAAAAGACTTTTACCTGCAGATGTGTCCTAGATTGTTGGTTGGGTAGGGTAAAACCAATGGTTGACTTCATTTTGGGTCAGTGCCATAGTGCAGTTTTGTGCTGTTTCTTCAGCTATAGTTACTGTCAGTGATACATGTGCATGCTTCAGTAGCTTAGGCTGCAGAGGTTTGTGTGGCTGATCCATCTATTTTGGTTATACTCTTCTGGGGGTGGAGTGCAGTCCAGCCCATACTTCAGGGAAGCATGAGGCTGGTCAGCTTGTTGCTTGGCTAAGGTTCTCCCCCTGTGGTAAGTGGGCACCAGGCTTTTACATGGTTAGTGGAATCATGAGTTGGTTACTTGGTAGCTTGTCTTGGGTGCTCTAATAGACATATAGAGTACTTCATCAAACATTAAGAATACACATTTTTTTCAAGTGCATATGAAAATGTTAATGAAGATAGAGCCATAAAATGTTTCTGAACCATTTCAAAACACTGAAATATTATAGTACATATTTTCTTGCCACAGTAAAATTAAATTAAAAATAAATTACTACATCTATGGACACAAAATTTACTAAACATAAAATAAAATTAATGACAGAATTTATACAAAATAAAAGGAACTCATTAAAAGATACAGTTAAAAAATGAAGTCACAAATTCATAGAAATTTATTTGTGAGACACATCTGATAAAAGGTGAATCAAGAATAAAGTTATTATAAATGTATAAAAATAAAAAATAAAAACAGGCAAAACGTTTGAACAAGTATTCCATAAGGATGATATACAAATCATCATAAATAAACACACTTTATGGTCATTAGATATGAAATCTTCTCCATATCATTACATTATTACTAGTTAGGAAAATATAATTTAAAATCACAGTGAGATACTAGAACATCTAAAATGACTAACATAAAAAAAGAGCACTAAATGTTGGCAAGGATGTGGAAGAACATCTCTTACATTACTAATAGCATTGCACATCATACAATCAATTTGAAAAAGAGTTTTCAATTTCTAATAAACTAAGACCCAGCAATATGACTGCTCAGTATTTATCCAAAGAAACTAAAATGTATATATTCACAAAAAAGTGTATAAAATGTTTGTATACTTTTTTCAAAACAGAATAAAACTGGAATCAGTGTAATTATTTACCAACCAGAGATAGATAAACTAACATTTTAGTCATACAGTTAAATACCAATAATATATATAAATTAATAAATAAAAATGCATTACTGATACATGCAGCATTTACACCATGGAAAGACTCAAAAATATTTTGTTGAATAAAGAAAGCTAGACACTAAAAACAGATATGAACCCATTTATATAAAGTTTGAGTGGAGGCTAACCTAATCTGTTGTGATATAATTTAAAAGAGTGGTTTCTGTGGTTGTTGGAAAGGAGACACAAGAGAACTTTCTGAGGTAATGGAATTATTTTATGCCTTGATTTTGATGGTGTTTGAGTACATACATATATTAAAACTCAATATTTTATGCATTTAATTCTATGTAGATTTTATCTCGATCCCAAAATATCGAATTTTTAACACCCTGATATTAAAGATAAAATTGTAATTAGCCCATAAAAATTTTCACATTTACTTGGAATAAAAGAAAGAAATGCAAAATCCAAAGAAATATATCATTTATACCTACTTAATAGACTAATTTACATTAAATTAGTGGAATATTAAATTTATATACTCCTTATGAAAAACATGTACCCTGATTCAGTAATTCAACCTTTACAAATGATAAATTATTCAGGAAAATTTTGATATCATGTATATCAATGTGGCATTTTTTATAATAGTAAATTGTAAGCAACTGACATTTCCCAAAATAGAATAACTGCATTGATTAAATAGGTGGCAAACCATTTGTCTAGTCTTTAAAGACTAGGTTTTTTAAAAGTATATTTTATTATTATGAAAAAATATTCCTAGTACAATGTAAAAGAGAAAAAAGTTCATAGTTTAAAAATATATTCAGTAATGTTGCTACTTTAAAAAATACACATTCAGATATGTTACAAATAAAAAGCAACTGTAGCAACACATTCGTCATGTCTCTTGGATAATAGAATTACAGTGAATTTTATATAATTTTCTATATACTTTTGTGTTTTGTGATTTTTTCAATATATTATCTTTATAAATGCTTATATGTATAGACTATCTTAAATTATTACATTTTAAAAAGGCTTTAGTTTACTATCTCTTGCTGAGATTCTCTTTAGAGCAAATACTCTTTAGAAATTTGTCACTGACCATTTTTTAGGCAACCTGTTGTGATAATACATTGCATTAGAGTTTCCTGGCAGTTAGAAAGATACATATGGGTATGTGTGTACATATATATATGTGTGTGTGTGTGTGTGTGTGTGTGTGTGTGTGATGAGATATATATACAGATAGATAGATATGATTAAGAAAGGCATACTAAGATTTAAGAAAAAAGTGTCAAACGAAAAAGAATTAAATTAAAACCAAAAGGCCTATGAGTAAGTAACATATTTTGGATATTAGCCCTTTATCAAATATATGTTTTGAAAATATTTTATCCCATTCCTTGGACTGCCTGTTGTTGATTGCTTCCTTTGCTGTGCAGATGCTTTTCATTTTCAATCCCCTTCTTTTATTTTTGCTTTTAATATTCAAAATATATAAAGAACTCATACAGCTCAATAACAACAACAACAAGAAAACACATAAACAAAAAACTCAAATAACCTGATTTTAAACGGGCAAATGACCTAAATAGACATCTTTTCAACAAAGTCATTAAAATGGCCAACAAGTATATGAAAAAGGGCTAACATCACTATTGGGAAATGCAAATCTAAACCACAATGAGATGTTGCCTCTATCTATCTATTATCTATTAGAAATCTATTATCTAGCTATTATTGAAAAGACAAGAAAACAAATGTTAAGGACGTGGAGAAAAGGGAACCCTCACACACCATTGCTGGAAATGTAAATTGGTAAAGTCATTGTGTAAAACATTATGGAGGTACCTAAAAATTAAAAATAGAACTACCACATCTAGCAATTCCAATTTTGAATACATATTCAAAGGACATGAAATCAGTATCTCAAAGACATATTTGCACCCCTAATTTGTTGTAGCATTATTCACAATAGCTAAGACTGGGAACAACCTAAGTGTCTGCCATTGAATAAATGGAAAAAGAAAATGTGGTGTGTATATACAGTGGAATATTATTAAACTATAAAAAGAAGGAAATCCTGCCATTTGCAACAATCTGGATCATTATACTAAGTAAAATGAGCCAGCCACAAAAAGATACTCTATGACCTTACTTGTAAGTGAAAACTAAAAAAATTAAACTTATAGAATCAGAATAGAATGGTGTTTGTCAGAGGCTGGGGGTTAGGGAAAATGGGGAGCTACTGGTCAAAAGGGTACAAAAATTCAGTTATAAGATGAATAAAATATAATATTCTAATGTATAGCATGGTGACTTTAGCTAATAATAATGTATTCTTTATTTGAAATTTCTGCGATAGTAAATCTTTGGGAAAGAACCTTGCTATACACACTTAGACAGACACACACACACAAGGGTAATTGTGTGATTATATATGTTAATTAATTTAATTGTGGTAATCACTTCAGAGTGTATACATATATCAACTCACGTTGTATAACTTGAATATATACAATTTTTATTAGTTATACCTCAATAAAACTGGAAAATAGTCAAATGTCTATGTTGATACATAAAGCAATAAGCATTCAGTGAAAAATTTTTCTAACAGTTACTTATAATTTAAGTTTTCCTATTATGAAGTTGGCCTCCTTTTGACATCTGAATATTCTGTGCACAGATATAAAATATTTTATTTTTAATGCAGATTTTAGTATTGTATTCAAGAGCAATTATTTATGACAAATAACCTCCAGTCATTATTTAGAATTTTTCTTCTACTCACAGTAACATTTCTAGGTAGAGCACAGAAAATAGTTGACCTTGAGTTGGTCTTTCCATTAGTGAATTAGTTACTTAGCATTTATTCCATTTGAACTGACAGCAAGAACCTTTTTTTTGGAATTATAAGAAAACTATTTTTTAAAAAACTTTCTATAACATATGCAGGATCCATAAAACTTATTGACTGCCATGTAGACCAAATATTTATATGATGTTCTATGAAAGGAACGTGAAGAGGCAGATATTACTTATTTGTTATGAACTGCAGATGGAGAGTGTCGCAAATGAGAAGAATTAGATGTAGAAATTGTATAAACAAATAATAGTTTAAATTTAATGATCTTGGTAAAGATGTTATATAATCTTAGTAATCTATGGTATTTAATAGAATTATTTGCATTAATATGGATGTGTTTTCAAATGTAAAACCTCAGTATTAACTGATTTAAAAAATAAGTGAACTTATAAATGAGAAATCCTAAGACACATTTTCAATATAAAATTATCCGTTAGTGAAAAGAGATGAAGACAATGGATCACTAGTGCTATAATACAACAGCTAATTTAATAGGGAAAAAAGCAATCCATATGAATTTATTTTATTTAATATAAACTGGAAGATGTCATTTGTATTCTTTTATGTCAAATTTTTATGGCAGATTGCATATACTGAAATTGTTTTTACTAAAAAGTTCTGATGAAATATATCATCTATTTTATTTTATTAGCACATGACTGAGCTAGTAAAGAAATAAATAGACATTTCCAAGGTCAGAAGTAAAAAAATTTCTAAGTCTGAGGCTACCAAGGAGCTTCAGCCCATCCCCAGCACTTCTGTATTAATGACTTCACACAGCACAGAAGGTAAATACTAGGCTTTGAACAGCATGGGAAATTTGAACAAAACCTCACATACAAGCTCTGGTAGATTTCATGTTGAACCTAAAATTCATACATTAAGCCATAATATTTAAACAAGTTATTCATGGGGATAAATGTGCTCCAAATGAAGCAGGACATTTAAAAAACTTAATACTCTTCTCACATCTAAGTTCAGCACAAGTTAAAATGGAAGAAACATGGCTGGAAATACAGTTTACCAAAATTGACCCATAGCCATTAAAAGTTCAGAGAGGTAAACTTTCAGAGGAGAGGTAAATTATTATTAAATAGTATCTCTCTCTCTTGCATACACACACACACACACACACACATGCACACACACACAATTCACCAATTTACCAGGTCCAGATGTTTTTACAATATCAAACTTCAAACACCAGTGAATCCCAATGCTATATAAATTGTTCCAGAAAATAAAAATGGTGAAAAACTTGAAATTTACATATTAAACCTCAAATTTACATTTAAAATGTAGCATTGATACCCATACTTGATAAATTTTACAAAAAATGATACAAGAAAATGGAAAGAAAGCTAACCTATCTCACTTACAAATATCAGTGTAAAAACCCTAAATAAAATATCAGCACATATATTAGAGCAGTACATTGAGAATTTCTTACAGAAAAACCATCTAGGATTTTACCCTAGGAATACAAGAGTGAAAGGACAATTCTATATTATGATATAAATTAACATATTTCATCATATTCATTGATATAAAGACAATCATAAAATGCAACTCTCATCCTTGATTGAAAAAAAGAATAAAAATAGGAATTCATAGATACTTTACATGTCTGTCTATTCAATTTATCCAATACAATTAGAAAAGAGACAAGAATTTGAGGCAGAAATTAGGAAAAGATAAAACTATCCCTATTTCCACAAGAACTAATAATATACCTGAAAAATATTTGATAATCATAGAACTAACTCAAGGCAAATAATTCCCAAAGTAACCAAATATACAATTAGCATAGTAGCCTTCATAAACTCAAACAAAAACTAGTTAGGAGATAAGACAGAAGGGAAAACTCTTCTAACACTAGCAGTATTCCAAAAATAAAAGAAAGAAAAAAAAAACATTTAGGAATAAAATTAGAAAAAAAAGGTCAAAATCTATATAAGAAAAGCCATAAAAAACTCAAATCATATAAAAATAGCTTTAAGCAACTGAAAATGCATTCTTTGGATGAAATGCATTGTCATGTTGTGAGGTTAGAAAACAGTCCACACGATCACTCTAATTCAGACACCAACTGAAGAGTTAGGGGTCCTCAAGACCACCCTTACTTCGCACATCAGTTGCAAGTATTGGGGTACTCAAGACTACCTTCAGCTTTGATAATTGAATAGAAGGACTCACAAAACTCACAGAAAGCTGTCAATACTCATAGTTATCATTTATTACAGTGAAAGGGCATGCACTGAAATCAGCTAAGGGAAGAGACCCACAAAGCAGAGTCCAGGAAAGCTCCAAATACAGAATTTTCAGTTGTCCTTTTCCAGTAAAGTCATGTATAACATTAACACTATGTTACAATAGGCATTAAATATTGACAGCCAAGGAAATTCACCTGAGTCTTGGTGTCCATAATTTTTATTGAAGGTTGACCTCAGTCTCTATCCCCTCTGCAGTTCAACCTGATATTGCATGACCCAATGCCGCCACCCTAAGTCATGTCCTAGAATTTGAAGGCAAAGGTCAGACCTCTTTTTGGACAAGGTTAAATTGTTTACTATGGAAACATATATGTTAATTTTTTCTAAGTTAATTTATATATTTTGATATAATGCCAATAAAATATCAACATTCTTTATCTGAGATTAGGGAACAGTCAGTTCTAAATTATATATGAAAAATGGACATTCGATAAATTCTAGAAAAACTATCAAAAGTGAAAGCAATGAGGACAGTTGACCCCTGACAAATATAGAACACCCTTGATAGTATACTCTCTGGTACAGTAGCCACTAGTCACAAGTATCTTTGTAAGTCAAAATTTAAATTAACTAAAAGTAAATAAAATAAAAATTCAGTTTATCAGTCATATTGGCCATATTTCAAGTGGCTATCATTTTGCACAATGCAGCTATGAAACATTTCCATTACCTCCGAAAGTCTACTGGATTGTATTGCCTTAGAGCTTCTATATTAAGCAATATTGCTTCAAGAGTAGAGAGAGGCACAAAACAGAAAGTCAAAATAGACTGACCCACCCAGTAATATGGATAATTTGTGATAAAGATGAAATATCAAGCCAATGCTATAATAATATTTAATAAATGGTATAAATCAGTTGAGTAGCCATTTAAGAAAATGTATAATTGGATCTGTACCTCAAATCATAAAGAATCAAAAGAATACATATATACACAGCATGGGTAGATTCACCTGGGACCTGGATATGGGTAATGACTTTCTTACTGTGATTAAAAATAAAGATGTACTAAAAAAGTAATAAAATCAGACACCACTTAAACCCAATGATCGAAATTAGCATAATGAATTTTATACCAATTTCAGTATAAACTGAAATCATGTGCCTTTTAATGTAATACACTGGGAAGTAGATGGCATCATATAGGTCTTATCTATCAAAAATGCTTTACTTACATCCAATCATAACTACATAATTTGAAAAATCTATATTGAGAAATATTCTGCAAAAAAATTGGCAAGGATTGTAAAAAATGAAAACACTATAAGAATAAGGGTATGCGTTTAGATTAAAGGATATTAAAGAGGCATGACTAATAAATTTATTTTTGATCCTTGATTATACCAAATAAAAGCTGAAAATGATATAACTAACATCACTGAACTAAGAAAACTTCAGTACGTATAGTAGATAATATTAATCAGTTAACTTACTTGAGTATGAAAATTACACTGAAATTATATATTCTTGGAAGTTATATGCTGAAGTACTTAACAATGAAGAATTTTTAGGTCTGTTACTCACTGAGTAATGGCTAAAGCAGTCATTTATCGATTGTATTGTTTAGACTTTTCTATTCCAAACGACCCCAAACTTAATGGCTTAGTGTAACAATCAATTATTAACTCACAAATTTCTGGCTGCCAATAAGGAAAAGGCTCAGAAGGATGATCCTGCTCATCTTCCTGAGCTCAATCATAATGGAGTCAGTCACCTGACATTTCTTCTGGGAGTGGATGATCTGGGATCACTATATTCACATGCCTAGTGCTTTGTAGGCTATTGGTTTGAGCACCTTAATTATGCTCTACGTGGACTTTGTGAAGGTTAGCTGGAGTATATTCCTATCACAGCAGATTTCCAATAGGAGGAGAGTGGTAGCTTCTAAGAGTTCATGACCTAGATTGAAGACTCACATGATGACACTTCTGCTGCATTCCATGGATCAAAGCAAGACAAAAGACCACCCCAGATTCAAGCCGTTGGGATACCAACTTTGCCTTTGATATGAGGAGCTAAAAAGTCTTTTAAACACACTTTATCTCTATCTATCCATCCATCCATCCATCCATCCATCCATCCATCCATCCATGTATGTATTCATCCATCTATCTATTTATAGGCAAAACAACTGCACACTCTTAGCAATTTGTCAACCTGAGTAAAAAGTGTATGGTTGTTTACTATAAAGTTCTGCAGGATTAAAATTTTAAAAAAATGTATTGTTGGGAAAAAAAGATGAAACAAGATAAAAATATTTTGTCACCTCTTATTTTTTTTCTGCTTACCTTCTTTTGCTCCCTGTTCCCACGTAAGACAAAACTGTCCTGAAATTCTGATTTTGAGGTTCCAGTGTATTCCCGTACAGGAAGGTCCATCCATGTAAAAGAAGATATGATTTGCATGGATGAAATCTTCATATTACTCTCATTCATTTTCCATTCAGAATGACCTCACTAAGTTTATGTAAGATGTTTTTGGAGAGATTTCTATAACAATTTTGCTAACAATTTAAAATGTTTCTATTTTCTATTAACCCTAATATTTTTCCATATCAAAAACAATTAGACCATCAATGAGCTTGTTCTTTTCATCCTCAAAGTAAATTTATTCATGGTTACCTACCGTTATCTGAGTTTTTTCTCAGATGCTACTAAATTTAATCCAATAGTCTCTGCAATTTTAATTTATTACCATTATACACATTTCTGTCTTCTATAACTTACACTTTCTATAATGGTAAAAGCAGAATTGATGTGGTTGTTACTAGATTAATTTCTATGCACTTGTCTCAATTATTTTTCTTAGCCATTACTTAGAAGTCTATATAATTTATATTCCACTATGTAGCAGTATGTACTCTGTCAACTTAGTTATGTTAAAACTGTTGCCTGGAATTTCATATTTTATATCCTCCAGCCTAGTGATGCAGGATTTTTCTCAGCCACTTTGCCAACCAGGGACCTCCACAATTAGCAACACCCCCCTGCTACCCAGGCCTCACTCAGGCCGGGCCTGCCACTGGAGGCACCCCACCGACTTGGCCTGCCCGTGGTATAACTTGTACTTGTATTTGGTGGTTCTCATGCTCTTGTCCCTCATCCAAGCAGAATGAGGATACACTGACAGTTCAAAGAGCGAGGAGGGCGGGGAAGAACTTTATTGAGTGATGGAACAGCTCTCAGTGGAGAGGGGCCACAGGCGTGGTTCCTCACCCCTGCACTCAGGTGGGTTTCTCCTCCAGTGTGGCTGTGTCCAGGAATTTTATGGACTCAGAATGGGGAGTGCATGCTGATTGGCTTTGAGTATGCAAAAAAGGTTAAAGAGAAGACATGGTGCAAAGGTGGGCACGACTATAGAAAACCAATTAGGAAAGGGTAGGTATCTGTAAAAGAGGCGAAGGGTGGGGATCACTCAGAGGAAAGCCTGCCAAATGGGAAGACAGGTTCTTAATCCAGTCTGTGGATTTGACTTGTAGCTTGGCTTTCAGGCTTTAAACTGTCTTCCTTGGAGGTGGGGTTTCACTGAGGACCTGTCCCTATCTACCTAGGCATATGACTGCCTCCTGTCACTGTGATTAGAGTTAGCCAAAATAAGAAATTGTTTCACATTTAGAAGACAGAAGTTAAGCAGCTACCATTACTCTTTGAAGGTGATTAAATTGAATGCTGTGACAGTCAAAAAGAGTTGGTTCCATTTTGTGTTACTCTGTGTTCAGCTCTTCTCACTGCCAGCCCTGTGGCTGAAAAGAAACTGAAGCCCACAGTCAGATGTTCTGCTGAAGACCTTTAAAAGCAGGATTTATGCAATGTGAACAATTTCCCCAAATATTTTCCCTTTACTTCTCTGATGTTTCCATTTTATTTGGCAGCTCTACATTACCGGCTTCCCAGAATCCCCTGCAACTCCTGACTTTTTTGCATAAATCGTTATTTTAGTAGGACTGATTTGTGACTTTTCCCTGATCTCCCAAATCTCCCTTAGATTTTTTTTTCCCCAGTCTCTCCCACAATTACATAAAACTTTATTCTTATAATAAGTCTATAATTTGTAATTCTCATGGCAGATATATTTTAACGTTTAAACTCTATCATTGCAATTATTTTATAAACAATAATGAATGTCTCAGAGTCTTACATGTTGGTTTGCAAGATTCCGTACGATGTAAAATTAAGACAGTTGTTCTATTTTTACATTTATCAGATTCCTTCGAAGTATGGTTATTCACTCTGTATGCTATTTATTTATGGGAATAGTTGTGAAAATTTCCTTTCCATAAATCTAAGATGTAGTTTCAGCATAAAATTATGTAATTTAATGAATCTTATTCCAAGTGCACTACGGGTTTGGAAACTTATCTTTGTAAAACAAATAATTAGTTATGGAAATTTTCACTTGATAATTAGAAAAGGAGTCAAAGTTCATTTCACAAAGGCTTAATACTTCTTTTTACTTTAGATAATTTAAACAAAAGAAACTCTTTTAGTGTTAAGCCTAATTAATTTTTTCTCTTTTGCAGTATACATTTCTTTGTAATTTTTCAAGGTCGTAGTTAAAACACATTGAATAATACATTTATCTCAACAGAGGATATAATAAATGGTAGATTTACACTTAAAAACAAAAGCTCTGTTTTCAGTAAGGTAAGATTCAGCTCCCTTCTTTGTATTTCAATTCCCAGTTCTTTGCAGTTTCCTCTCCTATACAAGTATTCATTATCACAGGGAGGAAGTCTTGCCACATGCAGTGACAAATTGTTTCATTTATTTAAGATAGAACCTTTGTATTTCACTCCATATGCTAATGCAAACACATCTTTAATGATTAGGAAAAGATAAAATCCTTACCTACTAGGAGCAGAAATTTCTGTGTTCACAGGTTTATAAGCAAACCACATACTGAGTTGCCAGTCCTGCCGCCTGAACAACAGTCTCCTTTTAATCAGTAAATCATTATGCCAATAACAGCATCAACAACAAAAAGTTGTATGGTATTTTGAGATTAGCTTCAAATCTTGCTTTGCACATTCACAAAGATAATACCAGAGAAAAGCCCACCACTCAACTGACTCAAAAAAATGAGACTTTAAGGAGTCAAAGAAGAAGAGTCTCATCTTTTATCTAAACCAAGACTCAAGCCACTTGGCTTGTGAAGCTGCCAAACTATGATTATCAACTCTTCCTTCACCAGTTTGTTACTAGTGGAAGGTATTTGAGTTTCTGGTGGTGAATCCATCTGGGTCTGCAGCAATCTCAATTCTTGCCTACTTCAGAAGAAAGAATTCGACTGAGGGGCATAAGGCAGAAAAAGAGACTGAGGCCAAGTTTCAGAGCAGGATTGGAAGTTTATTAAAAAGCTTTAGCACGGGAAAGAAAGGAAAGTGCACTTGAGAGAGCGCCAAGTGGTCCATTTGAAGAGCAAGTGCTCTGTTTAACCTTAATCCTACAACTTTATAGGGTGGCCCACCTCCAGTGTCTTGCCTGTCTTTCCCGTGATTCTTACCTTAGAATGGGCTCCCTGTATGCGCAGTGCACTCCTTATCCTTGGGAAGTGAGCCTGAGCAGTGTGTTTAGGAAATCGTATGCATGCCCATCTGAGGCTTTCTTCCCTTTTCCAGTGGAGTGCCCCTGGAAGCTCATTCTCCAAAATTCTGTCTCTTAATGAACATGCTTGGGCTTACTTACCCAATACCTGAGATTTTACTGGAAGCCCTTCTTGCTTCTCCCTGATGCCTGCATTCAATTAACACTTTAATATTAACAGCTGTGGATCAGCGGGAGATTGTCTCTCCCTGGTGTCAGCTACCAAATATTATTATTTTTAGAGAGGCAATGTGACAATCCTTGAATCATCACCTGATTGCCTGACATTCCTGGTGGGTGGGTGGGGACAGCCCTCTCCTGCCCTGATCATGCCTGTCTAACTACCTGTAACAAACTTAATCTCGTCAAATGGTTGCTTCTCAAATATCAGAAATACAACCTATTAATATGACAAAGCTAAGTACATTGCTTACCCTGGTAAGGGAGAAAACCACCTGAAGAAGTTGGGGCAGTGTCTTGAAGAGTGATGCATAAGGCAAGATGCACAAAAGAATGGAAAAGAAGCAAAAATGATCATAATTAGTTTTGATGCATCTTAGTTTATAAGTTACCTACTTCAGTCTAAATCACACTGTCATAAACATCCCTTGAGATTTTTTAAAAAAATGAAACTATGGGAATAATGGCCTTCACATACCAAGATACATGATAAAAGAGGTGAAGACTTACTGAGGTGTCTTTTCACTTGCTCTAAAGTATCTTCTTTCTATTACCTAGCAGCTCCTTTATTTAGCTTCTGGAGCTATCCATGCTGCCCTATGTCTGTTCCAAAGTTCATACCAGATCTTAGTAGAAAAAGCTGAGGTGCCGATGTTATCTCTTTTTTATCAAATATAATAAACATTCCTTTAGAGTGACAGATAGTGGCTAAGGAGAATTCAGCAGTGAATGGATTCCTAATTTTCCTTCCATACCTACCTCAAGAAGTCATCTCCCCTAGGAAATATTGGATCCTTCACTTGAATTAGATATGCCTCCTATGTCCTCTCATGATGTTTATAACTATCCAGTATCAAATTATATTATAACTATGTGTGTTTTTCTTTATATCCATTATCAGTCTGTTAATTCTTAAGGGTAAAATATGCCTAAGGAGGCTCTGTATCCACAATGTCAAGAAATGCTGGCTTAATGAATGAATGAAGTAATTCTAACTGAAATGTGAAATACAAACCCTTTGCTGAGAAACCTGCTAATAAAAAATATCTCTAATATTTGAAAGGGGGAAGCTTATAGCCAAATGTTGCCAGATAATCTTAGACAATTTTATTCATATTAAAAGGAATATAAAAAGCATGATTTTCAAATTGTTAAAAGTAATTGTAATAAAGATAATAATCACATGTTAAAATTTTAGTTTTATTTAAGAATCAACAGAGACAAGATGGGGGTTGATGATTTGGGATGACAAATCCAAAGGGGAAAGGAATACTGAATTTAAAATGTCAAGTTAGGTATAACTGATCAACATTTTTTTATGGTAAAATCAAAGCCTTCAGGGTGTATATGTTCCCAGCAAGTAAAAATTAAATCACAACTTATAATTTTTCTACAAATTAACCTCGACAGTGAAATATCTGTAAAAGATGTGGACTTTTAATCACCTTTACTCAAAACAAAGTTGCGATCTCTCAGACAATAGGAAAACTAGAAAGAAGCCTAATATGAAAACCCTCTAGAACAAAGGTATACAAACTTCTGCTCTGTAAATCATTACTAGCCTGCTAAAAGGCAGGAAACTCATTCCAGAATGTAAATTACTTAATCTCTAAACACTCTATTTTGTTTGGCTGACATTTTCTTCCTAGAAAGACTTTGTCAATTAAAGTTTATATCCTGGTACAAGTTTCTTGTCTCGTTTGAAACTAAATTCATCATGTACCAGGAGACCAGAGGACAGAGGGAGCAGTTTTTCGCAAGCATCGTTTGCCTACTCCATGGATGAGCATGCTATCGTAAGTAGAATCAAACTAAAACCAAATTGTATCATAATCTTTCTTGTCCCTAAGAACCACCTCAGATCCTTCAGGGGAAATCCAGGATACTACTGTAATGGGTTTACTGGTAGCTCTGAAAAAAATATGTTCTAATCCTCTAATGTAACCTGCAAATATTACCTTACTTGGAAAAAGAGTCTTTGCAGATGCAGTAAAGTAAGAATGTATCATCCTGGATTATCTTGGTAGGCCCTAAATCCAATGACAATTGTCCTTACAAAAGACCCACAAAGGAATAAACAGACACAGAAAAGAAGTTGATATTAAGCTTAAGGCAAAAACTGGGGTTTGGCCTTAGGACAAGCAAGCTAGCAACTACTAGAAGCTGGCAGAGGCAAGAAACAGATTCTGTCCTAGACTCCCTGTGGGGAGTACAACAATCCAGCTGGATTTCAGAATTCTGGAATCTAGAACTGTAAGAAAATAAACTTTATGTTTTTTTCAAGCCACAAAGTGTGTGCTAATTTGATACGGTAGCCTCAGGCAACTAATGCAACAATTCTTATATATTTTGTGGAATCTAAAAATCTGTGCAAATCATCAAGAGAACTCTTAATACTAGCCAAGATAGACACCTACCCACATGTATAAAAGACATGTAATACAACATATATAAAAGACATGTTGACTTTGTGATGAATGTTCTGTTATGATGCCTTAAATAAACCTTAATTTTACTCATATAAGTGGCTTATTTCTTGGTGACATTAATTTGTGACTACTACCCAAAGAACAATTCCATTATTACTGAATTTTCATACTGAATTCAAACACTAACAACTATCAGAATTGGCCAACTTGAAATTTGATAAATTAGGCTGAAACATAAAGTTGCATTTTTTTCATTATACTTTAAGTTCTGGGATACATGTGCAGAACGTGCAGGTTTGTTACATAGGTATACACGTGCCATGGTGGTTTGCTGCACCCATCAACCCGTCATCTACATTAGGTACTTCTCCTAATGCTATCCCTCCCCTAGCCCCCCACCCCCGACAGGCCCTGGTGTGTGATGTTCCCCTCCCTTTGTCCATGTGTTCTCATTGTTCAGCTCCCACTTATGAGTGAGAACACGCAGAGTTTGGCTTCCTGTTCCTGTTAGCCTGCTGAGAATGATGGTTTCCAGTTTCATCCATGTCACTGCAAAGGACATGAACTCTCCTTTTTATGGCTGCATAGTATTCCATGATGTGTATGTGCCACATTTTCTTTATCCAGTCTGTCACTGATGGGCATTTGGGTTGGTTCCAAGTCTTTGATATTGTGAATAGTGCTGCAATAAGCATATGTATGCATGTATCTTTATAGTAGAATGATTTATAATCCTTTGGGTGTATACCCAGTAATGGGATTGCTTGGTCAAAAGGTATTTCTGATTCTAGATCCTTGAGGAATTGCCACACTGTCTTCCACAATGGTTGAACTAATTTACACTCCCACCAACAGCATAAAAGCATTCCTATTTCTTCACATTCTCTCTAGCATCTGTTGTTTCCTGACTTTTTAATGATCGCCATTCTAACTGGCATGAGATGGTATCTCATTGTGGTTTTGATTTGCATTTCTCTAATGACCAGTGATAATGAGCTTTTTCTCATATGTTTGTTGGCTGCATAAATGTCTTCTTTTGAGAAGTGTCTGTTCATATCCTTCACCCACTTTTTCAAGGGGTTGTTTGTTCTTTTCTTCTAAATTTGTTTAAGTTCCTTGTAGATTCTGGATATTAGCCCTTTGTCCGATGGAAACATTTTCTCCCATTCTGTAGGTTGCCTGTTCACTCTGATGATAGCTTCTTTTGCTGTGCAGAAGCTCTTTAATTAGATCCCATTTGTCAATTTTGGCTTTTGCTGCCATTGCTTTTGGTGGTTTAATCATGAAGTCTTTGCCCATGACCATGTCCTGAGTAGTATTGCGTAGGTTTTCTTCTAGGGTTTTTATGGTTTTAGGTCTTACATTTAAGTCTTTAATCCATCTTGAGTTAATTTTTGTATAAAGTGTAAGGAAGGGGTCCAATTTCAATTTTCTGCTTATGGCTAGCCAGTTTTCCCAACACCATTTGTTAAATAGGGAATCCTATCCCAATTGCATGTTTTTTTTTCAGGTTTGTCAAAGATCAGATGGTTGTAGATGTGTGGCATTATTTCTGAGGTTCTGTTCCATTGGTCTATATATTTGTTTTGGTACCAGTACCATGCTGTTTTGGTTACTGTAGCCTTGTAATATAGTTTGAAGTCAGGTAGCATGATGTCTCCAGCTTTCTTCTTTATGCTTGGGTATATACCCAGTAATGGGATTGGCTATACGGTCTCTTTTTTGGTTCCATGTGAAATTTAAAGTAGTTTTTTACTAACTCTGTGAAGAAAGTCAATGGTAGCTTGATGGGAATGGCATTGAATCTATAAATTACTTTGGGCAGTATGGCCATTTTCATGATATTGATTCTTCCTATCCATGAGCATGGATTGTTTTGCCATTTGTCTGTGTCTTCTCTTATTTCCTTGAGCAGTGGTTTGTAGTTGTCCTTGAAGAGGTCCTTCACATCCCTAGTCAGTTGTGTTCCTAGGTATTTTATTCTCTTAGTAGCAATTGTGAATGGGAGTTCACTCGTGATTTGGCTCTCTGTTTGTCTATTATTTGTGTATAGGAATGCTTGTGATTTCTGCATATTGATTTTGTATCCTGAGACTTTACTGAAGTTGCTTATCAGCTTAAGGAGATCTTGGGCTGAGATGATGGGTTTTCTAAGTATGAAATCATGTCATCTGCAAACAGAGACAATTTGACTTCCTCTCTTCCTATTTGAATAGCCATTATTACTTTCTCTTGCCTGATTTTCCTGACCAGAACTTTCAATAGTATGTTGAATAGGAGTGGTGAGAGAGGACATCCTTGTCTTGTGCCGGTTTTCAAAGGGAATGCTTTCTGCTTTTGCCCATTCAGTATGATAATACCTGTGGGTTTGTTATGGGAACTAAAAATACAGCACTAGGACTTCATGATGCATACACAAGTATCAATAGCCGAATCAATCAATCAGAAGAAAGGATATCATTTGTCCTTGCTTCTCTAGTTCTTTCAATTGTGAGGTTAGGGTGTCAGTTTTAGATCTTTCCTGCTTTCTCCTGTGGGCATTTAGTGCTATACATTTCCCTGTAAACACTGCTTTTGCTGTGTCCCACAGATTCTGGTATGTTGTGTCTTTGTTCTCACTGGTTTCAAATAACTTATTTATTTCTGCCTTAATTCTGTTATTTACCCAGTAGTCAATCAGGAGTGGGTTGTACAGTTTCCATGTAGCTGTGTGGTTTTGACTGAGTTTCTTAATCCTGAGTTCTAATTTGATTGCACTGTGGTCTGAGAGACTATTTGTTATGATTTCCATTATTTTCCATTTGCTGAGGAGTGTTTTACTTCCATTTATGTGGTCAATCTTAGAATAAGTGTGATGAGGTACTGAGAAGAATGTATATTCTGTTTATTTGGGGTGGAGAGTTTTATAGATTTCTATTAGGTCCACTTGGTCCAGAGCTGAGTTCAAGTCCTGAATATCCTTGTTTATTTTCTGTCTTGATGATCTAATATTGACAGTGGGGTGTCAAAGTCTCCCACTATTATTCTGTGGGAGTCTAAGTCTCTTTGTAGGTCTCTAAGAACTTGCTTTATGAATCTGGGTGCTCCTATATTGGGTGTACGTATATATAGGATAGTTAGCTCTTCTGTTTGCATTGATCCCTTTACTATTATGTAATACCCTTGTCTGTCTTTTTAGATTTTTGCTGGTTTAAAGTCTGTTTTATCAGAGACTAGGATTGCAACCCTTGCTTTTTTTTTTTTTTGGCTTTCCATTTGCTTGGTAAATATTCCTCCATCCCTTTGTGTTGAGCCTATATGTATCTTTGCACATAAGATGTGTCTCCTGAATACAGCACACCGATGGGTCTTGACTCTTTATCCATTTGCCAGTCTGTGTCTTTTAACTGGGGCTTTTAGCACAGTTACATTTAAGGTTAATATTGTTATGTGTGAATTGGATCCTGTCACTATGAAGCTAGCTGCTTATTTTGCCCATTATTTGATGCAGTTTCTTCATGGTGTTGATTTGGTCTTTACAATTTGGTATGTTTTTGCAGTGGCTGGTACCCATTTTTCCTTTCCATATTTAGTGCTTCCTTCAGGAGGTCTTGTAAGGTAGGCCTGGTGGTGACAAAATCTCTCAGCATTTGCTTGTCTGTAAAGGATTTTATTTCTCCTTTGCTTATGAAGCTTGGTTTGGCTGGATATGAAATTCTGGGTCGAAAATTCTTTTCTTTAAGAGTGTTGAATATTGGCCCCCACTCTCTTCTGGCTTGTAAGGTTTCTGCAGAGAGATCCACTGTTAGTTTGATGGGCTTCCCTTTGTGAGTAACCCAATGTTTCTCTCTGGCTGCCTTTAACATTTTTTTCTTCATTTCGACCTTAGTGAATCTGACAATTATGTTCCTTGGGTTGCTCTTCTCGAGGAGTGTCTTTGTGATGTTTTCTGTATTTCCCGAATTTGAATGTTGGCCTATCTTGCTAGGTTGGAAAAGTTCTCCTGGATATTATACTGAAGAGTGTTTTCCAACTTGGTTCCATTCTCCCTGTCGCTGTCAGGTACACCAATCAAACGTAAGTTGGGTCTTTTCACATAGTCCCATATTTCTTGGAGGCTTGGTTCGTTCCTTTTCATTCTTTTTCTCTCTAATCTTGTCTTCATGCTTTATTTCATCAAGTTGATCTTCAATCTGTGATAACCTTTCTTCTGCTTGATCGATTCAGCTATTGATACTTGTGTATGCTTCACGAAGTTCTCATGCTGTGTCTCTCCGCTCCATCCAGGCATTTATGTTCTTCTCTAAACTGGTTATTCTAGTGAGCAATTCCTCTAACATTTTTTCAAGGTTCTTAGCTTCCTTGCTTTGGGTTAGAACATGCTCCTTTACCTTGGAGGAGTTTGTTATTACCCACCTTTTGAAGCCTACTTCTGTCAATTTGTCAAACTCATTCTCCATCCAGTTTTGTTCCCTTGCTGGCGAAGAGTTGTGATTTTTCGGAGGAGAAGAGGCATTCTGTTTTTTGAAATTTTTAGCCTTTTTGCACTGGTTTTTCCTCATCTTTGTGGATTTATCTACCTTTGGTCTTTGATGTTGGTGACCTTCGGATGGGTTTTTTGTGTGGACATCCTTTTTGTTGATGTTGATGTTATTTTTTTCTGTTAGCTTTCCTTCTAACGGTCAATACTGTCTGCTGCAGGTCTGCTAGAGTTTGCTGGAGGTCCACTTCAGACCCTGTTTGCCTGGGTATCACCCAGGCAATCAAAGATTGCTGCTTGTTCTTTCCTCTGGAAGCTCTGTCACAGAGGGGCATCTGCCAGATGCCAGCCAGAGCTCTCCTGTATGAGGTGTCTGTCGATCCCTGCTGGGAGGTGTCTCCCCATCAGGAGGCATGGGAGTCAGGGACCCACTTGAGGAAGCAGTCTGTCCCTTAGCAGAGCTTGAGTGCTGTCCTGAGAGATCTGCTGCTCTCTTCAGAGCTGGCCGGCAGGAACGTTTAAGTCTGCTATAGCTGTGCCCACAGCTGCCCTTCCCCCAGGTGCTCTATCCCAGGGAGTTGGGAGTTTTATCTATAAGCCCCTGACTGGGGCTGCTGCCTTTCTTTCATGGATGCCCTGCCCAGAGAGGGGGAATCTAGAGAGGCAGGCTGGCTACAGCGGCTTTGGTGAGCTGTGATGTGCTCTGCCCAGTTCGAACTCCCCTGGGGTTTTGTTTAGGCTGCGAGGGGAAAACCACCTACTGAAGCCTCAGTAATGGTGGACGCCCCTCCCCGTGCCAAGCTCGAGCATCCCAGGTCAACTTCAGACTGCTGTGCTGGCAGCAAGAACTTCAAGCCAGTGGATCTTAGCTTGCTGGGCGCCCTGGGGGTGGGATCCACTGAGTTAGACCACTTGTCTCCCTGGCTTCAGCCCCCTTCCCAGGGGAGTGAATGGTTCTGTCTTGATAGCGTTCCAGGCGCCACTGTGGTATGAAAAAAACAACTTCTGCAGCTAGCTTGGTATCTGACCAAATGGCCACCCAGTTTTGTGCTTGAAACCCAGGGTCCTGGTTGTGTAGGTACCCTAGAGAATCTCCTGGTCTGAGGGTTGCAAAGACTGTGGGAAAAGCATAGTGTCTGGGCCGGAGTGCATGGTTCCTCACAGCACAGTCTGTCATGGCTTCTCTTGGCTAGGGGAGGGAGTTCCCAGACCCCTTGCGCTTCCTGGGTGAGGCGATGCCCCACCCTGCTTCTGCTCACCCTCCGTGGGCCGCACACACACTCTGACCAGTCCCAGTGAGATGAACCAGGTACCTCAGTTGCAAATGCAGAAATCACCCACCTTCTGCATTGATCTCACTGGGAGCTGCAGACTGGAGCTGTTCATCTTTAGCCATCTTGCCAGCCACCTCCTGAAATAGTAGTTTCATAAAATGCTAAATTAGTTACTTTTAGTCAGTGACTAACAACTTTATACTTTCTATTTATTTTGCTTTGTCTTGCTTTTTTTATACTGGTTTCTATTTATTTTGCTTTGCCGTTGCTTTCCTGTCTTCAGTTGGAATAGTCAAATTATTTCAGTCTTCCTTTCCTTTGTCTTTGATTGCTTTAAAATTTTTATTTCTACTACTTTATGCATTACTCTTAATGTATTTACATGTGTACTTGTTTCTAAAAGGTCTACACTTAATCCTTAATCCTGCCATTCTTTTTTTTTTTTTTTTTTTTGGATACAGCGTTTCACTCTGTCACCCAGGCTGGTGTGCAGTGGCGTAATTACTGTTCTCTGTAGCTTTGAACCCCCAGGCTCAATTCATCCTCCTCCTACCTCAGCCTCCTGGGTACCTGGGACCACAGGTGCATGCCACCATGCTTAGCTAATTTTTTTTTGTATTTTTGTTGTTGTTGTTGAGATGATGTTTTGCCATGTTTCCCAGGCTGGTCCATTCTTATTAAAGAGAACCAGAACCCAGCATCTTAAGCCTCATTCTGATTAGTTTTCTCTGACATATTATTTAGAAATTTGGTCTCATTTTGTTTTTTTACGTTTCAAATTAGTCATAATTTCATATATATATATATATATTTTTTTTTTACAGAGAGTCAATGTCCCTTTAACTACACCTAGATATTTGGCAAGTTTCCCCCACTATTCCTGAAATTTCAGTCCTACTTCCTAGGTATTTCCTTCTTTATGAAGTACAGCATTTCAAAATTCCCTCAGTGAAAGTAACTAGGTGATAAACTCTCTTAAGTTTCTGTTGCCTATAAAATTATTTAGCTTTTACTTTTGAATGATAGCTTAGTTCAATTTAAAATTCAAGGTTTATAGATATTTTTCTTGTATTTAAAAGATTCTAAGATAAAAGTTGAAATTATTTTTTAAAAGACTCTATTTCAATGTCTTACATTTTTTCTCTTTTTTCAAGACAGTGTCTTGCTGTGTCGCCCAGGCTGGAGTGCCCTGGTGCAATTTTGGATCATTGAACCCTGGACCTCCCAGGCTCAACCAATCCTCCCAACTCAGCCTTCCAGGTAGCTTAGACTATAGGCATTACTCATCACGCTTGGCTAATTAACTTTTTGTAGAGATGAGGTCTCACTACATTGCCAGGCTTGTCTCCAACTCCTGGGTTTAAGTGATCCTCCTAGTCCTCCCAAAGAGCTGGGATTGCAGGTGTGAGCCACCACACCTGGCCTATTTTTTTCTTTATTCTGACTGTTGAGAAGTCTAATCATTATGCCTTTGTTGATAAACTATCTTTCCCTTGACAGCTTTTAAGCGTCTCTTCTTAAGTATTCAGTATTTGGCCACAAAATATCAAGATATATATTATTATTATTCATTCTACTGTAAATCATTTTTTCATCAGTTCTTAACATTTCTTAACCATTATCTCTTCAAATATTAACTCTTTATCTACTTTCTCCATCTTGAAATATATTTAGGTACATGTTAAATCTTATTTCATTTTCCATGTATTTTCGACTCTTATTTTTATTTCTTGTCTCTATGCCTCTATGTATTAAGTTTGCTTAATTTATTTAAGACTGTCTTCCAGTTAGTTTCCTCACAACTTTTTCAAATCTGTCTAATCTGTAATGTAACTCATCAACCAAGTTTTGATTTTTATTAAACATTTATTTTTAAGTGCTCTTTGTCTTTTTTTTTTTAAATTGTCTTACCTTTATTATATCTTTTTCTATTCTTAAGCTTCTTAAATATCTTCTGTTAAATTTCAAGGATAATTGTTTGGGTCTTCACTCCTTCAATTCCATTATGTGAATTACTTGTAAGTCTAATTTTAATGTTTGTTGTTTAATCTGAATTGTGGCAAAACAGCAAAATTATCACAAAACATTTGGTGTTGAATTGCATGTAGAGACTTAATATGACCCTAGCACAGAAGAATTTACTTTGAAGATAAAATTCCAATAATATGAAAAGAAAGAAATCAGCATAAAGTTAATTAATGTGGTATCATGTTTTCAGAGCAAAACAAAATGAAAACCAAAGTAATGTCAATAGAGAATATTGCTTGAATAACCTGTTGTATATCCACGCAATATGGACACATGCATGTATGTATGGATGGATCTATGTATGTATACACACACGCAAACACACACATACATATACACACATATTCATTCTACTGCATGTATCTGCTTATTTAAAAAAAATAAAGACACAGGACACAAGAAGCATGAATGATAATGTAATGGAATTAATGATTATTTATGGGAGAAATATTTGACCACAATTTTTCTCCTTTGCTATTTGTATAATCACTAGTATATAAAGAACATGTGTGATGTAAAATTCTTCATGTTTCTCAATAAAACACGGATTTTTAGAAAAATTTCATGCAGAGATAATCAAAAGGAAGATCACATGCACTCATCTATATTGAAGTAATCTCTTTAATTATATATACAGCTCTAGTGCATAATTTCATGTAAACACTGTATAATCTCTTTTAGTTCTTCACATATTTGACTAATGTGCATAACTGAGTTAGTCTGCCACTGTCTGATTTTCTGGAAGACTGATTCACTCTCTGCTCTAGTTTAACCCTAGAAAATGCCCAAATATTAACAGGAGGAAGAAATATGTGTTTACTGTAACTTCATAAACATCACATATAAAAAGTAATTAAAATTGTCCTCTTTTCAGTAGGAACATCTTGCAGTATTTTTCCCCAATGAATGTAGAGCACTATTAATGGCACAAATAAATATAAAATAAACTTCTGGGCCTTAAGGCCTTCAGGAAATTTCTGAATCCAGTAATAATCAAGAAAACATTGCATATTGGCATAAAGAAACACATATAATGATTGACACAATGTTTTCCACAACAGCAGCAGAAAATTCAAAGAAGCATTTCTCTTGAGCATCTATTAATAAACTTAAAAATAGTGCCCAAAAGACGACTGTATTGCACTGTCTCCTTTTACATTTCCTTTACCATTAGAAAGTTAAGGATCGATGAGCAGACCCACTGAATACCATGGCCTAAGTTGTTAGAAATCCTCTCTTTCAATGATTATTTCTTTCTCCCCAATATTTAGCTTCCTTCTATCTTTTCACTGTTAGTCTCAGAAAGGTAGCCTACATATGTTTTCTATACTTTTCCTCTATCTTTCAGCTTACTGTAAGTTGAGTCCTCTGATATAATACTGAAAAAATGCCCCCAACATTTACAGATGGCTTGATAATTGAATATGATCTGGTTTCAGAAAAAACAAATGGAGAGTACATGTGTTCAAATTACTATTGCTGGGTAAAAGTAGACATTCACAAAAGAGAAATTTTTGTTTTGTGGATGCTCACTGCAAAACCTGTAAATTTTCATTTCCCTCTAAATTATCATTAGGAATTTAAAGGAATATAGTTTTCTATCCTTATGTTCATCAATAGTGAGAAAGTAAAAAAATACCTTAGCTGCTTGCTTCATTTCAGGAAATATGTGTACCAGAAAAATAGAACTAAGAACCAACTAAACTGGCTCACATTTCAAGCCTAACAGCTTGCTTTTTCTGACTGTTTTGATGAACAGCTTTCTCATCAAGACATACTTCAAGACCCTTACTTTAATGTTACCACCAATTCAAAACTTTCATGTCATAAACTCTGACAGATCCCTACACATTTATGACTCCGAAACCAGGGTCAAATATATAATTTGCAGAGCTCAGTGTAAAATGAAATTTGGGGCCCGTTCTTCAAAAAGTGAGGACAAGATGACATTAAAAATACTAAATACAGCATTTTTCTATTTCTTTCATTGTCTATCTGTTAACATGCCATGGTATTTTTTATTTGCTATTTAATAATGCTTTTCATTAAAACATTAAACTTTTAAGTCATTAGCATGATTTTTTCCATTCACTTTTATATTGTGAAATGTCAGTTTTAAAGACACTTAACTGTTATGTGGAATCACCAAAATGCACAATTTAAGTTTTGCAGCTCAAATATTCATCTGTACACCGTTCTTACCAGAATAGAAAAATACTGCATAAAACTAAACATTTTTATTTCACTTTCATGAGCAAACATTCTACCAATACTTTCTACCTTTAGCTTACTGATGAGTAAGGAAAACTGAAAAAAAAAGGAACTATGTGCTGCCCTATCTTTCCCTCTTAGCATAAGAAGTTGGTTGATACTTAGAAATAATAGGAGTAAGAATGAATATGGATTTCTTTGATGGATATATAGATGTGATGGGTCTATAGATATAACTGCGTATATAGAACCTATGTGGATATATATAGACATATATGGATATAGGTTTCTTTCATTGTTTATGTTTTTTGAAATACAATTTCCTTCTTCTTCTGCATTTTAAATAAGTTCTGGTTGAACAAAAGTGTTGCCTATTGAAGCTGTCAATATCCCTGCTTACCCAGTTGTAGGCGTAAAACAATATGTGCTTGCTTTGTCTTGCTTTTTTGCTGAACTCCAGGCATTGTGGATTCACAGGTAATTGAATCATGGGGTCTGGTCTTTCTCATGCTATTCTCATGATAGTGAATAAATAAGTCTCATGAGATCTGATGGGTTTATCAAGGATCTCCGCTTTTGCTTCTTCCTCATTTTTCTCTTGCCACAACCATGTAAGAAGTGCCTTTTGCCTCCCGCTATGATTCTGAGGCCTCCCCAGCCATGTGGAACTATAAGTCCAATTAAACCTCTTTTTGTTCCCAGTTTCAGGTATGTCTTTATCAGCAGTGTGAAAACAAACCAATACAGTAAATTGGTACCAGAAGAGTGGGGCGTTGCTGAAAAGATATCCAAAAATGTAGAAGCAACTTTGGAACTGGGTAACAGGCAGAGGTTGGAACAGTTTGGAGGGCTCAGAAGACAGGAAAATGTGGGAAAGTTTGGAACCTCCTAGGGACTTATTGAATGGCTTTGACAAAAACGCTGATAGTGATATGAACTGGTGTCAGATGGAGATGAGAAACTTGTTGGGAACTGGAGCAAAGGTGACTTATGTTGCAAAGGGACTAGCAGCATTTTGCCCCTGCCCTAGAGATTTTTGGAACTTTGAGCTTGAGAGACATGATGTAGAGTATTTGGTGGAAGAAATTTCTAAGCAGCAAAGCATTCAAAAGGTGAATTGGGTGCTGCTGAAAGCATTGCATTTTAAAAGGGAAACAGAGCATAAAAAATCAGAAAATTTGCAGCCTGATGATGCAGTAGAAAAGAAAAACCCTTTTTCTTTCTCTCTTTTTTTTTTTTGAGGAGAAATTCAAGCTGGCTGCAGAAATTTGCATAAGTAGCAAGGAACCTAATGTTAATTCCCAAGACAATGGGGAAATGTTTCGAGACCATGGCAGAGACCTTCACAGCAGCCCCTCCCATCACAGGCCCAGAAGTACAGCAGAAAAAAGTGGTTTCCTGGGCAGGCCCAGGGTTTCTGCGCTGTGTGCAGCCTAGGGATTTGGTGCCCTGTGTCCCAGCTGCTCCAGCCATTGCTGAAAAGGGCCAAGGTACAGCTTGGGCTGTGGCTTCAGAAAGTGGAAGCCCCAAGCCTTGGCAGCTTCAGGTGATGTTAAGCCTGTGGGTGCACAGAAGTCAAGCATTGAGATTTGGGAACTTCAAACTAGATTTCAGAAGATGTACGGAAATGCCTAGATACCCAGGCAAAAGTTTGCTGCAGGGGCAGGCCCTTGTGGAAAATCTCTGCTAGGGCAATGCGGAAGGGATATGTGGGGTTAAAACCCCCATCCAGAGTCCCTACTGGGGCACTGCCTAGTGGAACTGTGAGAAGACGGTCACTGTACTCCAGAACCCAGAATGGTAGATCAACAGACAGCTTGCACCGTTCACCTGGAAAAGCTGCAGACACTCAATGCCAGCCCGTGAAAGCAGACAGGAGGGAGGCTGCACCCTGCAAAGCCACAGGGGCGGAGCTGCCCAAGACCATGGAAACCCATCCCTTGCATCAGCATGACCTGGAGGTGAACCTGGAGTCAAAGGAGATCATTTTTGGAGCCTTAAGATTTGACTTCTCCAGGATTTTGCACTTGCATGGGTTCTGTAACCCCTTTGTTTTGGCCAATTGCTCCCATTTGGAAAGGCTGTACTTACCCAATACCTGTACCCGCATTGTACCTAGGAAGTAACTATCTGACTTTTGATTGTACAGGCTCATAAGTGGAAGGGACTTGGCTTGTCTCAGATGCGACTTTGGACTGTGGACTTTGGAGTTAACGCTGAAATGAGTTAAGACTTTGGGGTACTGTTGGGAAGGCACGATTGGAATTTAAATGTGAGGACATGAAATTTGGAAGGGCCAGGGGCAGAATGATATGGTTTGGCCGTGTCCCCACTCAAATCTCAACTTGAATTGTATCTCCCAGAATTCCCACGTGTTGTGGGAGGCACCCAGGTGGAGGTAACTGAATCATTGTGACTGGTCTTTCCCGAGCTATTCCGGTGATAGTGAATAAATCTCACGAGATCTGATAGGTTTATCAGGGGTTTCTGCTTTTGCTTCTTCCTTGTTTTTCTCTTGCTGCTGCCATATAAGAAGTGCCTTTCACCTCCTGCCATGATTATGAGTGCTCCCCAGCCTTGTGGAACTATAAGTCCATTAAACCTCTTTTTGTTCCAGTTTCGGGTATGTTTTTATCAGCAGCATGAAAACGAACTAATACAACACGAATTCTTTACTCACAGGGCATCATGAACATCTCTGCAAGTGGAGTTGCAACGAAGCTAGATATACACACTGTGTATACCTTTTCTGCTCACAAATGTGCTCATCTCTCATTACACTTCACTTAGAAAGTACAAGTTCAAAGATAGATAAATTAAGAATTTAAAAATGGAAAAAAAAGAGAGTGCTAAACCAAGTACAAGGCAGTCTCACATGCAACACTCATCTCAAAAATTACCTATCCCCATTTTCAAAACTCCTACACATACCTGTCCCTAATGTTTTCCTTCTGAGACACTACTAAGGTTCTGTTAAGGTGGTGTTCTTCCTTACTGCAGTAAGATTAGTAAACTCAGCTATACTTGATCAACAGGGCTTCCCTCACAGCTCTCATGGGGGAATTTTGATGCCAGAGAGTTTAGAATCAAATTTATGATCCAATATTACAAAGCATTAAAAGATCTCATAGTATGCATTTTATCCACTAATCTCTCCCATAATCCATTTTTTCTTCAAATTTTCCACTGTCTTATTGCTACTACATTTTTATGTTAAATTGTCCTGCTTTATCGTATACCTTTTTGATAAATCACTTTAAATCTTTTTAGAATAAGACAGACTATTAGTAAACTTTTAAACTGTACTTATCACACATGCTTACATGCAGATATAAGCATTATACAATATTTCCTGTTATTAGACCCTGTTTCCTCTCATGAGGAAATGATGATTCCTCTTTGAAAGTGAGGCTAAAGGAATAGTCCTGGTACCATCATATAGTATCAGGTTTCTGTGTTGTGTGTTCCAACCTGGATTTGTTTCACTCATTATGAATAAGAATGTCTATTTATTACTTCATTGTCTTTGTTGCTCATGTCTTACTTGTGTTGTTTTTGGTTTCTACCTATGAACATCCTCAAAATTTGATATGCAAATATTGCTTTCTTTTTATTTTTCTGTTGCTTATTCTTTACTTCCCTTCTGCTTAAACCACTTGTCTAATATTGATTACTTAACAGGTAATCAATATTAATAACCTGCTGTTCATTCTTTCATAATATTTCATCTCATATAATCAAATTCAAAAACAAATGGAAACACAAACTCATGATTTTCTTTAGGTCTTATTTCATAAAACAAACAAGTAAACAAGCAATGCTCATTATATACTTCATTTGTATTTTGTTTTTCAATAACATATTCTGAAAATTCTTTCTAAATTAGTCGATTGTAGATCTAGCCGACGTTGTTTAGCAGGCACTGACATTGTTTCCTTTGTCCCCTATCCTCTTTATGATGAATAAGCTGATACTCTCTACAGGGTTAGGGAGAGCTTGGAAAACTAGTTGCCTGATATAATAATCGATATATAATGATTAAAAAGTATAAAGTCACATTTTGTATAGCATTAAATCTTAAATTTTGGAAGTAGTCCTCATGATACCCCTCATTGGGCTGAATTGTGTTCCTATAAAATTCATATGCTGAGGCCTTAGCCACTAATGTGATAATTTTTGAAAGTAGCAGCTTTGGGGGAGACAAGGTTTAGATGAGGTCATGAAGATGGAGCCTTCATGATGGGATTAGTGCTTTTATAAGACGAGACATGAGAAATATCTCTCACTCTCTTTCTCTCTTTTCTTTTTTTTTATTTATTATTATTATACTTTAAGTTTTAGGATACATGCATGCAATGTGCAGGTTAGTTACATATGTATACATGTGCCATGCTGGTGTGCTGCACCCATTAACTCGTCATTTAGCATTAGGTATATCTCCTAATGCTATCCCTCCCGACTCGCCCCACCCCACAACAGTCCCCGGAGTGTGATGTTCCCCTTCCTGTGTCCATGTGTTCTCATTGTTCAATTCCCACCTATGAGTGAGAACATGCAGTGTTTGGTTTTTTGTCCTTGCGATAGTTTACTGAGAATGATGATTTCCAATTTCATCCATGTCCCTACAAAGGACATGAACTCATCATTTTTTATGGCTGCATAGTATTCCATGGTATATATGTGCCACATTTTCTTAATCCAGTCTATCATTGTTGGACATTTGGCTTGCTTCCAAGTCTTTGCTATTGTGAATAGTGCTGCAACAAACATACGTGTGCATGTGTCTTTATAGCAGCATGATTTATAGTCCTTTGGGTATATACCCAGTAATGGGATGGCTGGGTCAAATGGTATTTCTAGTTCTAGATCCCCGAGGTATCGCCACACTGTCTTCCACAATGGTTGAACTAGTTTACAGTCCCACCAACAGTGTAAAAGTGTTGCTATTTCTCCACATCCTGTCCAGCACCTGTTGTTTTCTGACTTTTTAATGATTGCCATTCTAAATGGTGTGAGATGGTATCTCATTGTGGTTTTGATTTGCATTTCTCTGATGGCTGGTGATGGTGAGCATTTTTTCATGTGTTTTTTGGCTGCATAAATATCTTCTTTTGAGAAGTGTCTGTTCATGTCCTTCACCCACTTTTTGATGGGGTTGTTTGTTTTTTTTCTTGTAAATTTGTTTGAGTTCATTGTAGATTCTGGATATTAGCCCTTTGTCAGATGAGTAGGTTGCGAAAATTTTCTCCCATTTTGTAGGTTGCCTGTTCACTCTGATGGTAGTTTCTTTCACTGTGCAGAAGCTCTTTAGTTTAATGAGATCCCATTTGTCAATTTTGGCTTTTGTTGCCATTGCTTTTGGTGTTTTAGACATGAAGCCCTTGCCCATGCCTATGTCCTGAATGGTAATGCCTAGGTTTTCTTCTAGGGTTTTTATGGTTTTAGGTCTAACATGTAAGTCTTTAATCCATCTTGAGTTAATTTTTGTATAAGGTGTAAGGAAGGGATCCAGTTTCAGCTTTCTACATATGGCTAGCCAGTTTTCCCAGCACCATTTATTAAATAGGGAATCCTTTCCCCATTGCTTGTTTTTCTCAGGTTTGTCAAAGAACAGATAGTTGTAGATATGTGGCGTTATTTCTGAGGGCTCTGTTCTGTTCCATTGATCTATATCTCTGTTTTGGTACCAGTACCATGCTGTTTTGGTTACTGTAGTCTTGTAGTATAGTTTGAAGTCAGGTAGCATGATGCCTCCAGCTTTGTTCTTTTGGCTTAGGATTGACTTGGCAATGTGGGCTCTTTTTTGGTTCCATATGAAGTTTAAAGTAGTTTTTCCAATTTTGTGAAGAAAGTCATTGGTAGCTTGATGGGGATTGTCTCAGCCCAAAATCTCCTTAAGCTGATAAGCAACTTCAGCAAAGTCTCAGGATACAAAATCAATGTACGAAAATCACAAGCATTCTTATACACCAATAACAGACAAACAGAGAGCCAAATCATGAGTGAACTCCCATTCACAATTGCTTCAAAGAGAATAAAATACCTAGGAATCCAACTTACAAGGGATGTGAAGGACCTCTTCAAGGAGAACTACAAACCACTGCTCAATGAAATAAAAGAGGATACAAACAAATGGAAGAACATTCCATGCTCATGGGTAGGAGGAATCAATATCGTGAAAATGGCCATACTGCCCAAGGTAATTTGTAGATTCAATGCCATCTCTCTCTCTTTTCACCATGTGAGGGCACAGCAAGAAGATGAGCCCGGAGCATGGTGGTGGGCGCCTGTAGTCCCAGCTACTTGGAGAGGCTGAGGCAGGAGAATGGCGTGAACCCGGGAAATGGAGCTTGCAGTGAGTGGAGATCACGCCACTGCACTCCAGCCTGGGTGACAGTGCGAGACTCTGTCTCCAAAAAAAAAAAAAAAAAAAAAAAAGATGAGCCCGGAAGAGAGGCTTCACCAGAAGACATGCTGGTACCCTGATTTCAGACTTTCCCAGCCACAAGAACTGTGAGAAATAAATGTCTACTGTTTAAGCCACCGAGTCTATGGTATGACAAGTTATAATAGTTCGAACTGCTTAATATATACCATGTCCAAAATATTAAAGTGAACTAGGAAAAATGGGTGCATATTGTTAAGAGGTTACCATTTGTTCATTATTTTAGGTGTTAAGGTTAGGAATACCATACATAGCTATCTGCACCAAAATCTGAAGGAATCCGTAACCGTGGGATACATTAGAACTCACTCAATCCTGACTGATGTATCCGCAGGAATTGCCCGCTTGGCAGCATCAAGAAATCCATTCAAAATTTTCCGTTTCTGCTTCCGTTATAATCCCAACAACAGGACCAGAAGTCTGGATTCCCATTTTTCAGTTCTTTGGTCACACAGCTGATACAGTTTGCACACACACTTAGACATACACAAACACACACACACACTAAAATTTTTCACAATATGTCTGGGGGACCAGGATGGCTGAATTTTAATGAGTTTCTTAGTCTTACACTTCTGACCCTGGCGACAGCCTTAAGAATAGAGGATATTGGGCTCAGTGTGGTGGCTCATGCCTATAATCTCAGCACTTTGGGAGGCTGACGTGGCAGATTGCTTGAGCTCACAAGTTCGAGACCAGCCTGGGCAACATGGTGAAACACCATCTCTACTAAAAATACAAAAAGTAGACAGGTGTGGTGGTGCATGCCTGTAATCCCAGCTACTCCGGAGGATGAGACATGAGAATCGCTTGAACTTGGGAGGTGGAAGTTGCAGTGAGCTGAGATCATGCCACTGCACTCCAGCCTGGGCAAATGAGTGAGACTCTGTCTCAAAGAAACAAACAAACAAACAAAATGAATGGAGATGGAGGATATCGGTCTTCATATCAAAGTTTTTCCTGACATATTGTTCTTAAGAGAATGTCATTTACTTTCTGGGACTACACTACCTTTTATGTATGTGTGTAACCTATCCCATAAAACACAAAGAGAGTGAAGACATGAGGGACTTATATGCTTAACTAACACCAAATAACCATTGGTATGGTAATGCAGCAATCAGAGTTAATATTGCTAAAGGGCGTAAAATGCAAATAAATAAATGCCTCTTTGAAGAGTGAAAAACTTATTTATGAGAAAGATGTTTTCATAATTTGTAAAGTTAACAAAAGGCATACACAAGAATAGTCAACATTAATATAAACACACGTGTAATACTCAGAACAATACCATGATGTAGATACCATTATCATAACTATTATATTCAAAGCAAAAATCCAGACTAAAAGGATGAATAACTTGCCAACGCTCCACAACTATCCAACTTCAGAATCAAAACTAGGCAGTGTGGTGCCAAGGCTTGCGCTCTTGACCAAAGTTTAGTATCTCTTGTTACATCACCTTGGTTATGTTTAACTCTAAAGGTATGTGAAAGTGCACATGGTGATAAAATAGGGTCATTAAGAACTGATACAAGAAATAATTTATCTGAACTATTTGAAAACGCATCTCAATTATCCAGTATAAGATATCATACTGACTCATGTTCAAAATATGATTCTGTCATTTAAGAAAGTTTATAGCATGTTCTGCTTAGTTTAAAAATAATTCAACTAACAATTTGTTACAATAAAAGTTTCACTACTAAAATGTAAGGTTCTCTACTATGTAAAAATTGCAGCCTAAAACTTATAATAGCTGTTTAACTTTATTACAATAACATTATTCTCTTGGACTTTGTAAGCTTCCAGTCTCTGAAATACATTCCTTTATATTTTCAGACTCTGAAATATGTTCCTTTATGTGCACATTTTATTAGCAACTTCAATTTAGCTAAACCTTCAGTAAATATCCCAATGTCATTGATTGACATCATGGAAAGAACAGTGGCTAATAGTATAAATCTGTAACAACTTTCTTCATGGTTACAGATTACAAAGTTGTGTTGTGATCTGAAACAGCCTTGCCATTCTGGTCACTGACCCATCCAATTAAGATTAATGATCAAAGTGCAGGCACCCCCAGGGAGCAATTTCACCAGTTAAATATCATTCTTTTCATTTCCACCTTTTATCTTACAGTTGTTGGATGTTCAATCACAACTTTGATTGAAATGGTTACTTCATTTTCCACTGGCTTATAAATTATGAAAAAGAAATCAAAGTAAATTAGAGGTTGTACCAAAGAAAACTTACATTATTTCCCAATTTCATTTTTCTTTATTTTTAATTATAATAATATTTATTTAAGCTATTTTCTATTTTTCCAACTCAAGGAAGTAGATTTTAAAAAAGTTTTTCAGATGAAATAACCGGGTTAGTCTTCCTTAAATGTTTCAAATTAAAGACTGCAAAACTGCTTTATCCTTCTTTTCTCTGTCCTCTCTAACCTCTCTCAGAAAATTTCTAGACTGGAAAAACTCCAGCCACATACTAACCACAGTGGAAAATAACAACTTACTAAATACGTAAGTACTTTTTAAAGGAATTGGGCTTACTTTTCTTTCCCCTCCTATGCTCTCTTCTTACCTAAGTTCTATCTATTTAAGAGTGACCACTTACCTTCATTGTAAAGAGGTGGTTCTTTACAATGCATTAGAATGACTTGACAGTCTGCTAAAAACATAGACTGTTGAACCCCAACCTCAGAGTTTTTGATTTTATAGATCTGGAATGGAAATTGAAATTTTTCATTTCTAACAAGTTCCCAAGTGATGCTGCCACTACTGGTCTGTGGACTGCACTTTATAAACCACTGTCTTAGAAGTCTGTTTCATTTCTGTGCTCTGGAAATTCTACCAACAAACATGCCGCCTTTACCCTTATAATAATTGGTATTTGAAAAAACATCCAACCAGAACATGATAGATATACTCTGTATTTGGGTAGTTACTGTATACCATGATAGTTCATCTATGCTCAGGGAAGTCAGGGATTCCTGTAATTCAGGTAGAATCTGGGGACCCCTCTGTCCTCGAGCCTTCTCTGAGATTTAATCTAAAGAAGGATGTTAGCAAAAGATAAGCTATTAACACATTTTCTAGCTAATAGAAATGCCTCAAATCAAAACTGTAGGCATAAAAGCATTTTTATAATTTCAAATTCATGTTAATTTTTAGTGAATGGACGGTAGTATGTGGTGGGTGAGTGGGGGAGATAATGTCAACTGTTGAACCACTAAAGTAGGATAAATTAGCAAACATTCTATCACATGTGCAAGACTGATAAATTTGTCTACTTTTGTCTACAAGAAGATGAAAATTTACACACTTTGTTTCATAGAATAATTTATTATATTTTAGCATGCGAGTGAAATACTAATGTAGTTTTCAAATAATATGATATTTAGTGTACTAGGTGTGAATATAATAAACAGAATCATCATTAAATAAAATTAATTTAAAATTATATGGAAAATAAGTGCATCATTTGTGTTATTGCTAATATATTTTAAAAATAAAAGAAACATTTGGCTATTAATCTAACAATTATTTTAGCAAATAAGATAATTATCATAGCTACTAATTCATTTTTATTTAGAACTTCAGAAGATGACAACATAAATCTGTAGCATGTATCTTGTATGTTTAAGAAGAAAATATCTCACTACTCTGAATATATTTTCAGATTTTTTAACACTTTGCTAAGAGTTTATTTGCAGATTTACCTGAAGCAATTACACTAATTTTTTGAAGTGTTTGGTTCTTATAAATGATTTTTCATAAATGATACATCAGGAAAATATTATTTAATAACTCCCCTGCTACATATAGGCAAAGATTAAAAATTAGGAAAAAATATAAACTCATAAATTAACTGGTTGCTCACTTTTTAATCAATGTGTGTAATGTTTCTGTAAACTTTTAAGAAAAGTTTAAGAAAAGTTCTGTAAACTTTTTGACCATTGCTGCTTCTGTTCTTCATATACATGTAGCTAATGAGAAATGTAGGACAAACAATAATAAAGTGAAGCCTGTATTGTCGTTGTAACAGTACTTTTTTTTTTTTTGAGAGAGAGAGTCTCACTCTGTCACCCAGGCTGGGGTGCAGTGGAGCGATCCCGGCTTACTGCAAGCTCCATCTCCCGGGTTCATGCCATTCTCCTGCCTCAGCCTCCCAAGTAGCTGGGAGTATAGGCACCTGCCACCACACCCGGCTAATTTTTTGTATTTTTAGTAGAGATGGGGTTTCATCGTGTTAGCCAGGATGGTCTCTATCTCCTGACCTCGTGATCTGCCCGCCTCGGCCTCCTAAAGTGCTGGGATTACAGGCATAAGCCACCATGCCTGGCCTGTAATAATAATTTTTATTATTGTTATATCATAGTCAACCCTTGAACAACATGGGTTTGAACTGGAATAATTCACTTATACCTGGAGTTTCTTCCACCCCATCATCCCTAAAGTCACCAAGACCAACCTGTCCTCCTCAGTCTCCTCCTCAGTCTACTTAATGTAAAGATGACAAAGATGACCTTTATGATGGTCCACTTTCACTTATTAAATATTAAATGCATTTTCTCTTTTTAATACTTTTCTTAATAACATTTTCTCTTACTTTATTGTAAGAATATTGTATATAATGCATATAACTTACAAAATATATTTTAATTATGTTATTAGTAAGGCTTCCGGTCAATATTATGCTACTATGGTTAAGTTTTGAGGGAGTCAAAAGTTATACACAGATTTTCAACTGCACAGGGGTCAGTGTCTCTAAAACCTGCATTGTCGAAGGGTCAGCTGTATTCTATTATGTTAATAACCTGGGTTCATTTCACTTGGAAAACAATAAAATATAAAAAGAAGTAAGAAATGTACAACTGTTTTAAATTTATGTTTAAGCAAAACAAAAATATGTTAATTTAGGTTTCTTATTCTCACTAGTCACTAAGTAAAGGATATTTGATGAATTTTGGAATTATTGTGTATATACTTACATTCAGACAAAAATTTTTTTAAATTAACTTTCCAAAATTCTTGGCTTTGTGATAGCATTAACTGATACTGCAGAACTTCAACATCTCTTCCACAGTGCAGGCTTAGGAATTTTGAATGGAGGACAGACAACATAGTGCAAATGAATGTCCTCCAGCTTTGAATTAACACTGATCTGGTATGTATGAATATTTAGTCAACTTCTCTTAACAGGCTTGCTCTTTTGAGAAGTGAGAGTAAAAATCCCTATTTCAAAGCCATTGTAAAGATAAAGTCAACTAACATATACAAAGCAGAGAAGTAGAGGAAAGTCAGTCAGTGGTTGATAGATGTGCATGAAGGGTCTCCTAATATGCCTGGATATTTGGGTGGATCACAATATCCAGCAGCTTGGCCTTAAATTTTATATATTCAAAATTTTATCAGTTTAGCCAAAAATTATTTGACTTTAGGGAATCTATGAGTGTGATTCAAATGCAAAGGCAGAAATTTTTAAAATAAGCCAAAAAATAATGTGTTCATTTACCACTATGTATTGACTCATGTCTGTTCCATTAATCTAGGCTTCTCTACAAAAATATAATATTAACCCAGGTTTTCTACTCATTAAGTTATATGCAAAGACAATATTCTCATCCCTATTTCCCACTTCACCTCAGAGATCACCCTTGTCTGATCTTGTATCTTTCCACTCATTTTTGCGAATACAAATGTTCACTCTCTCTTTAAAAATGCCTAACATTCCATTCTACCCTCATAGTTTTACTGTTATATTAGGGTTATTTCTTGGCATTTAAAATACTGGCTTTTTTAAACAACATTTTATACTTCTCCCTTTTTCCTCAAAATGGTGAATATCATAAATTGTAGACAAGTCTTCTCCTTCTAAAGACACTGAGAAAATTTTGGTGAGGGCTATACATCAGGGGGTGACCACATCTACAGGATGGTAAAGTATGAAGATAATAGTCCAATTACTACTAATGTTGGACAGTGCTGGGAAAGAGAAATGATAAAAAAAGTTCAACAGACGCAGAGTTGAAAGGTATGAATAAATGGCTGCATCAAACTTCTAGGCACATGTAGAAATAATGGCTACTAAATCCCAGATTGGGTTACCCAATTGCGTCAGCTCATTAGGAAAAAATGTGTTTACATACAGTCTATATATTTAACATATCTGTATACATTATTTTCATTAAGTAAATATAGGTATTTTAGTATGTATCATTGGTAACATTGTCTCACATTACAGACAGGCTTCATAATTCTAGAAAAGAAGAATATAGAATGGCCACCTTAAAATTATCTGGAATGATTCATAAAAGTTAAAATTATGTAAAATGTGTATCTATAAGCCAGGGTCTATACCTGGATTATAGTAATTGGCACAATTATCAATCTTTTTTTCTTTCCCTCGCATTATTTTGATTGCTTTGAGAAACTTATAGTGTTCAATTATGTATTCTCACAGCTTCACATAATAAATAAATAATAGGTAATTAATAGGTAAGAGATTAATGACATATAAAATAATTATAGAATTATTAATAATAAAACACATAAATTAACAGACAATTCTCAAAAAGCCTTCTGATACACATTTTCTGACTGTTGAATTGACATAAATAACTAAGAGTCACCACTTTTTCTAAATAAAATATGGGAGTAGGTTTTTAACAGGAAGATACTTAGGGTTTCAAGACATTTCACAATAATAAACACAAATTATGTAGGTGCAGGAGATAACAAGGGAATTCTATGGGACTGTTATTCCAGAGGTTGTTTGCAACAATTTCTTGGCTACATTTTACTTGATTTATTGGAGATAATAGTTTTTATGAAAGCATGAGTTGGAAGGTCTGTGTGATTATCTGGCATGGATGTTGACATTGAATAAACTGAAATCATAAAACACACCAGGTAGTTAGCATATCTTATTTAAGAAATTACTTTTCCACAGGTCATGCCTTAGTATAGAATCCATATTGAATGTTTGGGATCTTTTTAATATAATTTATTGGTATTAATAAATTCTATTTCTAAACTTCCTAAGGATGCAACTGTACAGGTCTTTGTTGTTTACATGAATCTTTAACTCTCTGTAAATTAAAATTGTTACATTTCTTAATGAAAACAAGCAAAACAATGAAAAAGGAAGTGCCAGAAATAGACAGACCTAGCTCAGAGCTAACCACACCTATCCAGGGAAAAAAAGCAGAGATCATGAGACTATTCTAAAACTGAACCAGAAATGGAAAATGAAATAAAACATGCTTTTTAAAATTTACCCCTTGATTGTTCAATAAATGAAACATATTAAACTCACTTAGCAGAAATATTATAGATCTCTGTATAAGATTTGGCTTAAAATGAAAGGATTCCCTATTTAATAAATGGTGCTGGGAAAACTGGCTAGCCATATGTAGAAAGCTGAAACTGGATCCCTTCCTTACACCTTATACAAAAATTAATTCAAGATGGATTAAAGACTTAAACGTTAGACCTAAAACCATAAAAACCCTAGAAGAAAACCTAGGCATTACCATTCAGGACATAGGCATGGGCAAGGACTTCATGTCTAAAACACCAAAAGCAATGGAAACAAAAGCCAAAATTGACAAATGGGATCTCATTAAACTAAAGAGCTTCTGCACAGCAAAAGAAACTACCATCAGAGTGAACAGGCAACCTACAAAATGGGAGACAATGTTTGCAATCTACTCATCTGACAAAGGGTTAATCTCCAGACTCTACAATGAACTTCAACAAATTTACAAGAAAAAAACAAACAACCCCATCAAAAAGTGGGCGAAGGACATGAACAGACACTTCTCAAAAGGAGACATTTATGCAGCCAAAAAACACATGAAAAAATGCTCATCATCACTGGCCATCAGAGAAATGAAAATCAAAACCACAATGAGATACCATCTCACACCAGTTAGAATGGCAATCATTAAAAAGTCAGGAAACAACAGGTGCTGGAGAGGATGTGGAGAAATAGCAACACTTTCACACTGTTGGTGGGACTGTAAACTAGTTCAACCATTGTGGAAGTCAGTGTGGCGATTCCTCAGGGATCTAGAACTAGAAATACCATTTGACCCAGCCATCCCATTACTGGGTATACACCCAAAGGACTATAAATCATGCTGCTATAAAGACACATGCACACGTATGTTTATTGTGACACTATTCACAATAGCAAAGACTTGGAACCAACCCAAATGTCCAACAATGATAGACTGGATTAAGAAAATGTGGCACATATACACCATGGAATACTATGCAGCCATAAAAAATGATGAGTTCATGTCCTTTGTAGGGACATGGATGAAATTGGAAATCATCATTCTCAGTAAACTATTGCAAGGACTAAAAACCAAACACCGCATATTCTCACTCATAGGTGGGAATTGAACAATGAGAACACATGGACACAGGAAGGGGAACATCACACTCTGGGGACAGTTGTGGGGTCGGGGGAGTGGGGAGGGATAGCATTAGGAGATATACCTAATGCTAAATGACGAGTTAATGGGTGCAGCACACCAGCATGGCACATGTATACATATGTAACTAACCTGCACATTGTGCACATGTACCCTAAACCTTAAAGTATAATGATAATAAAATAAAAAAGATTTGGCTTAAATATCAAGATGTATTGCCACACATATTCCAAAAAGTCATGAAAAGGTTTATTATTTGAGTAATAAAACTTTCTGGGAAGAGCAGGGAAGGCTTCTGGACTGGTCTGAAAATGTCTTAAGAGAACAGGGACAGAACACTGGCTTAAAGTTTTATAGCAGATAGAGGGAATAGGGCTGGGATGAGGTTCCTACATATACAGGCCAGAGATTGCATCATTTGAACCTCCCACTGGCCCCAAAGGAAGGTGATCAAAAATCAGGAGTGAATTGTAACAAAAACTCAGACGCTGTTTTTGATGTCTGAATGAGGACAACTTTCAAGGGTCACTCATCTTCTTTTCCCACTTAAAAAAATTCTCTCCACACTTTAATTGATTTAAAATTGTACCTAAGATTTGAAAATGCTTATATACATGTGTAATTTTTTGTTTATAAAAGAGGTTCCATAACTATTTTTACTGTAGTTAAAGCAGATAACCAGATACCTACCTTTTAAATAATTTTTAAACTGTGCAGTACACTATTGTTAACTATATGCAGAAAGTTTTACAGCAGGTCTCCAGAACTTTTTCATCTTGCATAACTGAAACTGTATCCACTGAAAAGCAGCTCCCCATTTTCCCAGTGGGAATTGGGAACAATTAATGTTGTCAGATCATATGGTAATTCTCTTTATAATTTTTCGAGGAACCTACACACTGTGTTCTCTACCATTTTTCATAGCAGCTGATTCATTTTACATTCCTACCAATCGTGTTCAAGGGTTCCAATTTTCTCCACATCCTTACAAACACCTGCTATTTTCTTTTTGTTGTTGTTCTTGTTTTTAATAATGCATTCTAACAGGTATGAGGTAGTACCTCACTGTGGGATTGATTTACATTTCCTTGATGATTAATGATGATGACCATCTTTTCATATACCTGTTGGCCATGTGTATGTATTCTTTGGATAAATGTTAATTCAAGTCATTTGCTCAGCTTTTAATCAAACAATAATATTTACTTTTCACTGTAGAAGTTGCTTATATATTTTGGAGATTAACCCTTTATTAGATGCATGCTTTGCAAATATTTTCATTCATACTGTAGATTGTCTTTTCACCCTGTTGATTCTTTCTTTTGCTGTGCAGAAGATTTTTTAGTTTGGTGTCCCACTTGTCTATTTTTGCTTTCGTTGCTTGTGTTTTGGTGTCATAACAAAAAAGAATCCTTTCCAAGATCAATGTCAAGAAGCTTTTCTCTTGTGTTTTTTCTTAGGAGTTTTAGAGTTTTAGGTCTTAAGTCTTTAATGCATTTCGAGTGATTTATTGTGTATGTTGTAAGACTTAGACCTAGTTTTATTCTTTTGCATGTGCATATCCAGTTTTCCCAGCACCATTAGTTAAAGTGACTATCTTTGCCTCACTATGTGTTCTTGGCACTCTTGTCAAAGATCAGTTGACTATAGATGTGTGGATATCTGAGATCTCTGTTTTATTAATCTGTATGTCTGTTTTTTTATGACAGTGTCATACTCTTATGATTACTGTAGCTTTGCAACATATTTTGAAATCACAAAGTGTGGGGCCTCCAGCTTTGTTCTTCTTTCTCAAGTTTGTTTTGGCAACTGAGAGTTCTCTGTGGTTCTGTATAAATTTTATAATTTTTTTATTTATGTAAAAAATGCCATTTTTAATATAGATTTTAATATATTTTAATATAGATTTTAATATAGATTTAATTTAGATTTAATATAGATTTTAATATAGATTTCATTGGATCTGTAAATTGCTTTAAGTAGTATGGGCCCCATTTAGCATTCCTCATAAGGCATGTCTAGTGGTGATACATTTCCCCCACTTTGTTTTTCTAGTAAAGTCCTTATTTTTCATTCATTTTTAAGAGATAGTTTTCCTGGATAGTATTCTTGGCTGGCAGTTGTTTTTTTTTTTCAGCACTTTGAATAAATCATCCCATTATCTTCTGGCCTGCAAGATTTCTGCCGAGACATCTCCTGATAGACATCTACTGATAAGGTTATGGAGGTCCCTTGCATATAGTAAGTCGTTTTTCTCTTGTTGCTTTCAAAAGTCTCTCTTTGTCTTACACTTTTTACAGTTTCCTTATGACATGTCTTGGTGTGTATATTCTTGGATTCTTATTTGTTGACATCCAGTGGGGTTCTTAAATCTGGGTGTTCATTTACTTCCCCAGATTTGGCAAGTTTTAGCCCATCATTTCTTTAAACTTTCCACACCTTTCTCTCTCTCTTCTTCTGGAATTTTCATAATGTGCATATTAGTGCACTTGATGGTGTATTATAAGTCTCTTAGGCCTTCTTCACTTCTTTTGATTCTGTTTTCCTTTTCCTTTTGATTGGATACTTTTAAATCACCTATATTTGAGTTCGCCAATTCCTTTTTCTGCTTGTATAAGTCTGCTGATGAGCTTCTCTATTAAAGTTTTTACTTCGGTTATTGTATTCTTCAGCTCCAAATTTCTGTTTGGCTTCTTTTAAATTTTCTATCTCTTTTTGATATTCACATTTTGTACAGGCATCATTTCTCGAGGTCATAGAGCATATTTATCACAGGTGTTTTGATTCTTTGTCAGGTGACACATACACCTCTGTTTCTTTATAATCTGTTTCTGGAGATTTATTTTATTCCTCTTCTTGGGTCAGGTTTTTCTGTTTCTTTGTGTAGCTCATAACTTTGTGTTGGGATCTACACAAATGTAAAACAGCCACCTCTCCTATTCTTTATGAACTGACTTTGTATAGGGAAAGACTCTCACCAATTAGCCCAGTTGGAGATTCTGAGGGCCTCTGAAAATTTTAGGGGGAAATAGAACTTTTCTGAGGCCTGTGCATTCAGTTTCTCAATTAGAGATGTTTATAGGCTGTGCACTGTGACTCACTACTGTAATCTCAACAACTCTTCAAGGCTGTAGCAGGAGGACTGCTTGAGGCCAAAAGTTCAAGACCAGCCTAAGCAACATAGCAAGACTCCATCTCTACAAAAAATTAAAAAATCAGCTGGGTGTGGTGGCACAAACCAGTAGTTCTGGCTACTCAGGAGCCTGAGTACAGAGGATTACCTGAGCCCAGGAGTCAAAGCTGCAGTGAGCTATGATCACACCACTGCACTCCAGCCTGGGCAACAGGGCAAACTCTTGTCTCAAAAAAAAAAAAAAAAAAAGTTACTCAGTTTCTTTTTCAGGAGCTTATAATCTCTTGCTCCTCTGGTGTGTCTCTGTGAAAGTTTCCTGATTCTACACCAGCAAGCCTCCTTCTTTCTCTAGTTCTCAGTGGCATCTATGCATTCAGAGTGTGTCAGCTTCCCCTAATGCCCTGAGTAAAGTGAGACAGATGCCAGTTGCTCAAGTAGCTCTCCAAAAAAACCTAGAACACTGGATACACATTTCCCTTCTCCTCCTCCTTTCTGAGGTAGAAGGCTGGAGTTGTGCTCTTTCTCCAGAGTGCACTGAGTTGTGCCAGCCACAGCAAGCTCCTCTCCCAATTCTTCTTTGTTCTCTGTTGTCTCCAGACATCCAAGACATGCTGGTTCCATTAATGCCCCAAATGAAGCGAAACAGAATTCACTTTCTTGGGCAGCCCTCTGAAAAGCTAAAACATTGGATGCATGCATTCCTCTTCTTTTTCCTTGTTCCCTGAGGGAGAAGGATTGAGCTGGAGGGTTGTCTCTTGAGACTGAGTTGTGAGGGCTTGGGGAAAAGAGGTGTGTGTGTAAAATGAAATTACTCTTTTTGCTCACTGAAATGTTGCTGTTCTCAGCTGTGTTTTCCCTTGTGGCACTGCAACTTCTTAACTGCATTATAGAAACCTCATAATGGTATTTTGGTCCACACAGAATAGTTAAATTGATATTTTTGTAGGCAGTCAAGGCCTGGGACTTTCTGTTCTGCCATCTTACTGTGATCCACAGCACACTGTTCACAGTCCTACTTGAACTTTTGATAATTGTTTCTTTGCCTTATACACTAGATTACAAGTTCCTCAAATGAATAAATAAAACAATGAAGTGAATTGGAATGTATAGCTGCTGTTTTCAGTATTGGTGGAGTACTTTGAATTATGCAATCTCTTATTTTGTTTGTTGTAGTAATTTAGGGGAGACGTGATTGGGTAGTGTTTAGAGTCATTATATGGAAATACAGAGCTATTTTGGGAATAGCAGTTTATTCCAATTCATTATTCATTCCTATTTCAAATTACAGAGATTCTCTGAATTCTATAGGGCAATCGATTTATGGCTATACCTAATTTGCAGTTTTTCTGTGTGATGTTCTTTAATCTGTAGATGCCAATATTGGTTTTCCCAAAAGTAGTTTTTCTCTCTTTCTCTATCTCTATCTGTGTAGATTTCCATTGCTGAGGGTGGGGAACAACCCTATTTTAATTAATTTGTATCATTCTTGAAGGGATGAAATTCCACCTTTTTCTGCAGACCAGCCTTATAAGAGTAAAATTTTCTTTTGTTATAATTTTCTGAGTTTCTATAAAAATGAGATCTTTTCTTAGAAATAGCTCTGGGTCTATGACGGAATGATGACAGTGAAAAATGTCTACTTCAAGGTTGTGTTTGTTTATAAGAAAGGAAAAGTAAGTATCTGAAATGGTGTACACATAGACTTTACTGTATGTAAAAGAGTTATTAGATCAGTTTTAAGGTATTTTTCAAGCCTTACGAATCAGTGAATATTTTAATGCTATTAATATAAAGTGGAGAGGTACAAGTTAAAAGAATGTCTTACCTTTCAGTGTAGTTCTATAAGTTTTCTGTGGTAGTTATCATTAATGTATAAGAAATATGTTTATAAGGGAATCATTTCTTTACAAGAACCACAAATGAGAAGCAGCGAGTTACTGGGCATTCTTTTTCCATGTTCCTATGTTACCATTAGTGATAAGCATGTTTTCCTGAAAATTGTTAACCTTTGGTAAGTTTTAAATCTAAAGATTAATCACTCAATCTGAACTTAGATTTCTTATAGGTGGGAGATTTGGGAAAGGCTTCAAATCCTGATTATTAAACTTTATTTTTATAGTCTTGTGTTACAAAATTATATCACACAAATAATCATTTAAAAAAAGATAAATTGTGAAAATATTCTCAGAGATCACATAACAGTAATAGCTACATTTTTCTGCCTGCTTCTGACAGAGAAATAACCTAGAACCCACCCAGACCACTCAGTTATAATTCTATTCAGACTCAGCTTAAGGATTCAAAATAGCATTATGATTTTGTGTGTCTTATTGCTCAACATTCACTGAACTATGTGAAAAATACTCAGTGGATGAGAGGAATACAGTGGTGAGCAAGATATATAGTTTATGTCTTCAAGAAACTTAACAATCTGAATGAGAATTCTAGTAAATAACAGGTGAATACAAAGCAACATATTAAATCCTCTTCTGGTGATTACTGTAGTATGCTCCATGAGCATGTACTGGGGCACTAAATTCAGTCTGAGGTCAACAGAGAAGTTGTTTTATTGGCATTGATGTGCTAGTTGTGACTCTCAGAACAAGGATGAGGTAGCCAGATGAAGAGGAATTAAGGTTCAAGAATATTTTGATGCAGAAACATGATATACAAAGCCATAGAGGTAAGAGAGGGTGTGAAGCCACAGATGCAGGGGACTGTCCCTCGCAGACCCTGACTCAATGACAGATGAACAAAGTACACTGACACACAGATATTCTGCTTTGCCAGTCCAGCTAAGTGTCCATACCACTTACAGACGCCAAGGAAGGTTCTGTACAGAGTTCGCAGCCATAGCCTCGACTTGCCAGTGAGACTAGCATTTATTCAGTAAAGATTAATTGACAAAGGTTGTGAGTAAATACACTTGTGGCTAATTAATGTGGTTGCCCCCATCCCGGAGAGAGCCATCATGTACCCGCAAGTGATCAAAGGTTGGTTTTATGACCCCATGAGTAAACAAGCTAGTTAGATAAACTACTCTTCCTTCCTTTGTACCCACTTTAAACTATTTAGTCAAGGTAAGGATTAGGTTGCCTTCAGCCATAACCTTATCCCGAAACTTCTCCAAAAACCTTCAGGCCTTCCAAGAAGGTTTGTGGCTATTATTTATAACTAAAATTTTCCCCACCAGCCTGACTGAATCCCCACATATAGATATAAGAGAGGGTGTGGTGATTTCTGGAAATGTAAGTTAATTCTGTGTAACTGAAAAAGAATGTGAAGTTGATAATAAATGAAATGGCATTGAGGTGCTAAGGATAGATTTGTATTTCATTTTAAGGGCTATTAAAAGATTGCAGGAGATGATATAATTTATTTGAGCTTTCAAAAATATTATATTGACTTCCATAAGATAATATGAAAGTGAAAATATTAAAACCAAATGTAAAGAGTTTTTCTTGATTAAATCTAGAAAAAGAAAATCATGAAGCTATAAAAATTGAGACAACTAGCAAAATTTGAATAGGAACTGTGTACTAGATGACAATATTCTATCAATGATAAATTCTCAGAACATAATAATTGTATTGTCGTTGTATAAGAGAATGCTCTAGCTCTTAAAAACAAATGATGAACTACCTAGGCAAGAAGTGTCATTAAGTCTGCAACTAAATTCTAAATCAGGAGAGAGAGAGAGAGAGACAGAGAGAGAGAATGTACTAAATATTAAAAATTAGTGGATCCAGAAGAGAATGTAAATACCTATTGTACTATTCTTTCAGTTGTTTTGTAGGTTTGAAATTTTTCAGAAGTTCTAAAGGAAAAAAGGAAGAAAAAGTGAAAGAATAAGGTGTTCATGTGTCAAATATGGTCAAGAATAGAAGATGTCATTCTGGTAATTCAGATATGAAACGATGGCATCTTTCTTTGAGCTGGGTACTAAGGAATTAACTCCAGGATTCAGTTTGACATATTCCTTGGCTTCCAAACCTTTTGGATTATTTTTTACTCTTATGGTTTGCTGAAAGCAAAAGTTACTTAAGAGGAGATATTATACCTCTAAACTAAAAGATACTTCTTACAACTAAATAACTATGTCCCCAGCAAATGAGTCCCAGGTCAAGGTGACTCCATTAGCCTGTCATTTCACTTTATACTGCTATCTTTCCACAGTTGCTATACAGTTATGAAAGATCAAGCTTTTGTTCTCTGGAATATAAGAAAAATAAATGTGAGTCTCGCATGGTGATGGTATAGAGTCATTACTGGTGACTCTATTGTATAAGTTGGTCATTCTTAACATGTGACAAAATTGTTCCTCTGTGACTAAATTGTTCCTCTCCTGCTGGCAAGTAAGCAGCACTTAGTGAATAAACTTTAGGCATTCAAGAAAATTTGATGTGTATCCCAAACTTGATATAAAGTCATGTTCAAAGTACCAACAAATTTAGTGTATGGATTTTGTTAATATGCTCTTCACTATATATTTGAACAAAAAATTGAATCCATTAATAAGTCAAAAAGCTTATTAGTCTAAATAAATCCCTTATTACTAGTAAAAACGATGTAACACATGCTATCCCAGACTCAAAATTGCAACTGCTAACCTTTTGTGTATATGCACGCCATGCATGTCCAAAGTACTTGTCATCTGGAACAATCTTTATAAAATCTACAAGTTTAAACCAAGGTGCTGCCAATGGGGAAAATAATAATGAACACTCAAATCCATTTTCTACTTGCCAGGTGTTCTTCTAAGAGCTTTACTTAAATGAATTAACTTAATACTCACCACTAACCTATGATATTGATACCATTATTCTGATCATTATTTTAGAGAATGAAATTGAGTGTATAGAGTTTAATGTCGCATAGTAAGTGTTGAAGTCTGACTACAAACCCAGACAATCTAGCTGCAGATAGACATTAGAAAGAAGCAGATGGATTTGAGAGAGATTCAGGGGTCATAGGGAAAAAATCTTGACAATTACATTTCTGAAAATTGTTCCATATATATAAGTATTACATTTTAAATTTATCTAAAATGAGACTGCTATTGCTGAAATGTATAATAATAACAATCAATGCAATAATAATACTCCACAGTGATAGTCCCAATTGTTAAAGATATTCACATGACTTAATAACTTACTTGATGTCTCTTTGATATATGAAATATGCTTTGTTCTTATAAGCAAAAGATTGTGGGATGAGTGACCCTTTAATCCCTAATATTACATCAGAAACATATATGTCCTTCATCCCGTGCTTACTTCTCTTGAGTCAGTCAACTTGTTCACTTACTGCTGTAAATGCTTAATGTCAGATCTCAGATCCCTAGCATCTCTTCACAGAGCTTTATTTTATTGAAGATTCAGATTTTTCTAATATAGGTTTACATACTAATCTTTCTGAATAGTTTATCATGTTGGATTTAGTCTTTAGATGTGCATACCATAGGACCATTTGCCACTCTTGAATTTAGGGGTCATCAAATTTCTATGTTTTGTTTTATTATTATTGTCATTATTATTTATTTTTTGAGACAGAGCTTGCTTTCTTGCCCAGACTGGAGTGCAATGGCATGATCTCAGCTCATTGGAAACTCTGCCTCCTGGGTGCAAGCGATTCTCCTGCCTCAGCCTCCTGAGTAACTGGGATTGCAGGCATTCAACACCACACCCGGCTAATTTTTGTATTTTTAGTAGAGACGGGGTTTCACCATGTTGATCAGGCTGATCTCGAACTCCTGACCTCAGGTGATCTACCTGCGTCGGCCTCCCAAAGTGCTGGGATTACAGGTGTGAGCGACCACGCCTGGCCGAAATTTCTATGTTTTAAATATGAATCTATCAATGTCTGTGTTTTATATATGAGTAATCCATAAAAGAATGTAAATGGATACTGCTACATTTATGGAATACTTCTTTTATTTCAGCATCCTCATCATTTTTATTGATCTTTATGTTGTAAAGTATGCAAACCTTAATGTTTTATAAAGTTTATAACACATAATTAAGCTCAACTTAACTAGCATTACCATATTTTAAACTTACATTCATTTTTAAATTAAACTTTTATCACAAATAATCAGAAGAATCTCATAATTCAATGTAATAGTTATAGCTTATAAACTAAAAAAATACATAATATTGTTATAATGATTATCATTTTTATACTCAAAAAGTGTGAGATATCCAGCTATGAACATTATGTGTACATTCTGTGTCATGGCAGAGCCTAACATAAAATATAAGAATTCCAAAAGATAAGCACAGGACACTAGAGAAGAACCCACAAGATTTATCCAAATTTAATATGTGGAATCAGGGAGAGCACCCCAGAAGAAGTGATAAATATAACTTGAAACCCAAAGCAGCTATGCTTTGGACCAAGGATCCAAGAATAGATAGCATTATTGCATTTGAGTTTTCAAAGAATTGTAAAGAAATACCATATTCAGTGTCTGTATAACAGGAAATAGAACCTTCCAATTTAACTGGTAAACTCTTCAACTTATTTAATTTGAATATATTTACAGGTTAGTTCTAAATATTTTAATTGCATAAAAAACCCCTAAGATTAAAAAAGCAAAATTTATGCAAATACTTGCATGTAGTGTCCTAGCAAAAAATAAACATTCATTCATACTAAGCAAGTAGCTTATAACATAGGTTATTTATTTTGTCCAGTTGAAACTAGATCAGAATTTGTTTTCATAAATTCTCTGTACAGGATAAGTGTCAGCAATTCTACAGAAACTCCAGAAAGGAAAAATTCACTGATTAGGACCTCAACTGTTACAGAAGTTACCCTTATCAAACATTTTTATATTCCCCTTTTATAGTCTTAGTGAGCTAATACATAATAAGAAGCATAACTGTATAAACACATACAAGTATTTATTATAAATATAACATAGAAAATTTTAATTTATAGACTGTCACTTCTTCAGGAAAATAATATTTCCAGGGAATCAGAAGTAATCAAAGTTTTCTAAAAAGGGGCCCTTATTCCTTTAATTCTGTTGGTAATGGTAATAATCTTGAGGGCCAGATGAATTATTACTACTTTTCAGAGCCCCTGAACCAGTACACCACCTAATGCAGAAAAAATGGAATGAATTCATCAATTATATTAATTCAAAATAAGTTTCCAATGATGCTTTTTTGAAAGGGGTACTAGATTTGCAACCTTACTAATTTTAAAGGGATATCAAAAGAAGCAACATTTAGAAAATACTATGTAAATTGAAATTCTATAACCTGATAATGTATTTTTCATTCTAGTACAGTAATTCCTCTGTCATTTAATTATTTCTACATTTTGTTTAAGTAACATTAATTTTTTATATATTGTTACATTAGATTCATACTATAAATTTGTATGCACATACACATATGTGTGTAACAGTGTAATAATAATACATTCTTCAGCAAACCAAACATCTAAAGATTGCTTTAAGAAAACAATTTTGTTTAAAATAATTTTTAGTTACAATAAACATCCTATAGAAATACTCCCTTCTCACTACTGCACATACTAGCCTTAATAAAAAAAGAAAAAGAAGTGTATGTTACAACTAGGTACCTTAAGACTGGACATGTTTTCTAAACTCCTTTTCCTTAAATTCAATTATCTTTATTTTTCAGTCACACTTTTATAAAAATGTTCTTTCTTAAAGATGATGAGAAACAAATAAGAACAGAATGTGAAAAAAGAACACAGTTAAAATAAGGAAAATAACAGAAATGCTAAAGAATAAAAACATACAAAAAATGTAAGCATATCCTTATTTTTACTACAACACTTCCACAAAGAATAAAAAAGTCTTTTTTGAATATGTATACTTTGATTGATGCTAGGCGGAATGTATCTAGTGATCTTGAGATGGCTGAAACCCACTCACTTGCAATTTTATGATTTGGTGAAAGGCACATCCTTTCTGAATTTCCAAACAATCAATAGCACTATTAAAGTATCAACATTTGAAATGTCTGCATGACTGAAGTAAATGTTAAGAAATGTTTAGAGTCAGCTTAAGAAAATAAAATTGAACTTTCACATATTTAAGACAGCAGCACCTCTAATTACCCTAGCATTTTCAATCACCTTTACTTTTAGAGAAGTGTGTCATAATTGTGTTACAGTTGCTATCTAACAGAGCTGAAAAGAGGAATAAAATATCTTATTAGATTATGTGGCAAAAAGTCCAGCAATGAATATTCCAATCTATAATTCCCAAAATGAGATCCTGGAAAGGCATATTGCTCAAGGAAAAGAGAAGAAATTAGAAATTGTTATAAATGCAAAAGACACCCATGAAGTCAGTGAATACTATTTGAACATAATTATTTTAAAAGTCAAATTGATAGGCTCCTATAGATAAAAGGTGCGTCAGCCTGTTTGTTTTACCGTTTCCATGGGTACAAAGACTGTTTTCTTCTTTTTCCTTACGTTTCATACCAAAGACTGTGAGGTAAAATAATGGTAGTCATTTTCAATATGTGTTATGTTATTACGCATCATTAATAAAAACTTTCAACCTGTATATTTGGATATATCTGAATAAGTAAAGAGTCTCTGATATTAACTGCCTCTGGAAAAAAAAATCTGTAAGGAATTTAAAACAACTACTATGTATTAAATTTTAGTATGTCATTCATTCAACTATTTTTTAAAATATTTGTGAAACTAAATATATATTTTAAGCTGTTTCTACTTAGCAAAAGTAAAAAATACTAAATCAGCAAGGAAAAAAGCAGTTTATCAAAAGTATATTTAGTGTGATTTAAATATTGTCAAGAAAACATACATAATTTTTGGTAGCTTTCCATACTTCCAAAGACTGGGTAGTACTTGTATGTTAAAGAAAAATATAGTTCAGTGACAGGTAAGAAGCATATATAAATATTCAAAGATTTTAGACTTAAGGTTCAGTCTAGATATACTAGGAATTTGCAGTCCTATATTGTGCACGAAACAAAAAATGTGTAGAAAAAATAGTTATATAAAATAAAGGCAATTTAAAGTAAATTTAGTAATATAAAAATAAATGTTTAAAAATAAGTAATAATCTAATTAAAATACACTCAACTTACTTTTACTTTTGATTGAGATTTTTCAAGTACACAATTTTCTAAGGTAGAATCTGTTTTTTTTTCTCACCTTATCAATTTTACCTTTCCTCATAAGATCACAGAGCTTCTGAACATTCTTTTGAAGTATAGACTTCAATTCAACAACAAACAAATTTTTCCAAAAAGTGAATACATGCATCCACAAGAAAATTACAAACTACAAGGGCCATTTAAATACCCCAATTTGTCTAATGTGCCTGTAACTTCAAAAAACAGTATTGTTGTCACAAGCTGTTAGAAAGCGTGCTTTTGTTTCTAGAAGTAAATTGACTATATCTTTAGTAAAAACTCTGATGACTGTGAGAATTCACACATGAGAAGAAATAATAGAATATGGAGTGGTTCCAAGTGATTTATAAACTAAAATTTTTTAAGGGTAGGGATTATCCCTTTCTTACATTCATGAGAAATCACATCTGATTAAGTTTATTTTCTGTGCACAATTAAGAGAAAATAATAAGTTACAGAAGAAAAATAAGACAGAAAACATTGAGTATATGACTTCAGGCAAATAGAAAGTAATAAATACTGCTTCTATATGGGTTTCTAAAAAGAAATGTAGATGCAGTTCAAACCAGAAACAGAACATCAGTTGCTAGTCATGTGAAACCCTATAATTCTGTGTGTGTGTGTGTGTGTGTGTGTGTATGTGTTTCACATATAACCTGAATTATTAAAATTAAGGATACGTTCCAAAATAAGTATTTCTCTAAAAGATATATCCTAAAGTAACCTCAAACTAAAAAAATACAACATGACTTTCACCATAATATTCTGGCTCTTAGAATAAGGGAAATTCAGGCAAAATGTCAAACGATATAGTGTAACAAAAAATGTTACCAGCACCTAGACTGATTCTGTATATCTTCTTTCTTTCTGTCATGTATCTTATTTTCTCATACTTATGCCAAAAAATAAAATTATTTTTGTATTATTTTATTTGAAAACAGAAAGTTTTAACCACTACCTCTAAAATGCTTGTTTAATGAATAGATAATTATTTCTCCCAATTCATAAAGAGCTTTACAAAAGCAATCGTAGTATAATTTAGTTTCATATCTTCTTAGTTATCTTTAAGCATGAATTCTGTTTCTTTTCTGCCTGATAATGGGAAAAATGATTTTTGGGTTGTGAATTACAAAGGAGGACATTTTTAGAATAGCTGAAATATTGCTGGGCAAAGAGAACATCAAATCAAAAGAAGTAATGTCACTAAAGTATGTAGCACATGTGCATCAATACATTGCCCTGGTTTACATGACTGAATCTTCCAAAGCACACTCCAGTAACCATGGATTTTGAATATTAAGTCTGCGAAAACTAATTGCAATTTATTGAATATGTCAGTGAAGCAGAACATCAGTAAATCAAGTCCAAGTCACTGTTACAGCATTTTTCCCTTCTCTTAAGCAACGGACAGTTTCTTCTTTCAATCACTGAAAGTTACAAATTTCCAGGAACTAGCTGCAGTAGAAGAGTAATGGTTGAAAGAACCAGATGATCCTGTTTTATGACCCTTGGCACAAAGATTAAACCCTTTGTTTCCAGCAATGCACAATTTCATGCTATTTCAGGGAGCTTGACCCTGAACTGAACTTCTTCAGACTGTTCAGTTCAATCTGAATTTATAAGAGCTAGTGACAGTCTGTAGCATGTAATGAAAAAAAATAATGGAGGGACAGCTGTTTGCTTTCACAATCCTGCCATTGAGGCTGAGAGAGGAAAAGCTGTGGGGCTGATGGATTCAGAAGGAAATGAGTTGGGATTTAACATTTGCAAAGAGAAATCCTTTTGTTATGCACTGATTTGAAGCAAATCTCTGGCAACATTTCCAAGGGTCAGATTTGGGAGTGTTTTCCTTACAATGCTGAAAGGAACATAACCAATTTTCTAGTGGCTGATTGTATTCTGCTAGTTCAGGCATTTGATTAAATGTTATATGTTATTTATCTTTCCTAAATCTAATATCATGTGAAACATATAGGAACATTTCTTGAAAGTTAACAAATTTGTAGAAGTACCAATTTAGGATAGGATTATTTTTAATTACATATTGAAATATTATTTATTTAAATAATTACAATAGAAAAGATTGAGTACTTTGTATTTTGAATTTCAATAACATGAGTTAGAAATTTATAAATGCATTTCTGTAGCTATGTATGCAAAATCTCATTCTAAAACAAACATAATAAGGAAAATATGCCTTTTGTAAGGAAAAGTTTCAATTTTCCTTATATACACAACAAAATATGACACAGATTTTATTAAAATTATCACAAAGTTCAATTTCACAATGACTATTATTATTGAACTTTATAACTGTGAAATCTATGAACTATGGCATTTAAAATTTTACAGAGAAATTTAGAATGCAAATCTGCTTATACAGTTCTGAATTGGAACATGAAATTACTGAAAAGTGTTGGCAAATATGACAATTGAAACAATTGCCTCTGGGACACAGAGGTCTCCTCCCACAATTTTTCCAACCAGTATTTGGCACCTAAGTAATCTGATGTTTAGCCATTCTTAAATATGAAGAGGGAAGAGTCTGGTAAAAAATATTGAGGAGTCTTAAGATTATGAAATGAATATTCTATAATCTTAGGGATGAACGCCACAGTGTCCTGCCTAAGGAAGCATTGTCTGTTTAGTGAACTATATTATTCAGGAACATCTTTGTGACATCTTCCAAAAATAAGTGCTTTTGTAATTATTATTCTCTATTAATGACAAATTATTAAAATAAGCTGTGGACTGCCTTTGGGATCATAATAATTTCCTATGGAAACGATATGGCAATTTTCCTGAACATACCCAGGGACCAGTAGATGACACCTTATTGAGTAGACCAGGGTGGTGACATTGAGTTATGCATGTAGCTCTGCTGCAGTATACTCCACATGAAAGGCCAGTAGAAATCATCAGTATTAGAACAATATATGTTAGACCCTACCATGGCCAGTGCTTAACACACACATTCTTTTGTTGTTGTTGTTTGTTGTTTTCTTTCGTTTTTTTTTCAAAGTCTACAATATAAAGCAGCCTACTAAATTTGACTCCACAGAAATTAATGATAAAATGATTAATGTTAAGAAATAAATCAATAGTTCATATGATATGTGCTGAAGGAATTTAGAGTTAGGCAATTATTTTTCTAACTACCGTGGTTGAAAATGTTTGTGGAATAGCTAAATTTCAAATGACTCTTACAGATCACTTTGAAGAAGTTCAGTTTTCCTCATGTGAAATATTTCCAAATGAATACATTATGAATGAGGCAATCTAGATTATGTGAGGTTCTGAATCATATATTATAGTGTTAGTGTGGCTGTGTTAAGGCATAGTACAGACATTTTCAATAACATTCATAAAACAGAATAATAGGTATGAGAAGTCATATACTTTATCAGCTCATGTACTTTTAATAAAACATAAAATTTTATTTAAATGAAAACATTAAACGGAACTATCTCACATTCACAGAGTTAGTAATTTTATTATATAAGACCTTAAAACTTGGGGAAAAAGCAGTAGAATTTTGAGAATTCATATTAAATGAAATAAATGACTTAATTTATTAACATAAAAACCAAATATTTCTAATTATTTTTCTTTCCCACCCTCTCAGAGTAATATGAAACTAAGTATTATGTATTACATCTCAAGGTGATATAAATCATACACATCTTTGTACCATCAGAAAAGTTAATATAGATGGTTACATGTAATTTGACTTTAGGGTTGGTAATACAAACTTAGCCAAACTGTTTCCCCAGTTTAAAGTGATTGGTTCAAGAGAAAACCGTTTGATTCAAACGGATGCAATCACAGGTACTCAATGAAAATTGATATATAAAAGTTAGGGGTAAAAGTTTCTCTCAATGTAGAATTATAAGAGATAAAGACCACATAGTGCTGGAGCTGTCAGTGGATACTGTCTCTGTCTGTCATTCATACACACACCAACACACACACACACAGACTGATTTGGAAAATAAATATATAAATCTGGGGCAAATGGAGTGTTAAACATTTGAAACTACTAACTCTAGGCACAACTGGTCCATGATTATTCTCTGAATTCTGTGATTTAAAATTGTTACCTTTTACGCTGAAGGCTACTTTAAAAATTGACTTTTGGTCTTCAAGTATTGGGGGAAATTTAGCCAGATATTGGGCAAAATTCACCCCCGATATTTCACGTATGTTCTTTTCTATTTTCCCCAAGCGTCGGCAGGTTTGAGAAATAAAGGGACAGAATACAAAAGAGAGAAATTTTAAAGCTGGGCGTCCGGGGGAGACATCACATGTTGGTAGGTTCCATGATGCCCCGCAAGCCGTAAAACCAGCAAGTTTTTACTAGTGATTTTCAAAGGGGAGGGAGTGTACGAATAGGGTGTGTGTCACAGAGATCATGTGCTTCACAACGTAATAGAGTATCACAAGGCAAATGGAGGCAGGGCGAGATCACAGGACCACAGGACCGGGGTGAAATTAAAATTGCTAATGATGTTTTGGGCACACATTGTCATTGATAACATCTCATCAGGAGACAGGGTTTGAGAGCAGACAACCGGTCTGACCAAAAATTTATTAGGTGGGAATTTCCTCGTCCTAATAAGCCTGGGAGTGCTATGGGAGACTGGGGCTTATTTCATCCCTAGAGGCAACCATAAAAGATGTCCGCACCCAGGGAGGCCAATTTAGAGGCCTACCCTCAGGAACGCATTCTCTTTCTCAGGGATGTTCCTTGCTGAGTAAAAGAATTCAGCGATATTTCTCCCATTTGCTTTTGAAAGAAGAGAAATATGGCTCTGTCCCGCCCGGCTCATCGGCAGTCAGAGTTTAAGATTATCTCTCTTGTTCCCTGAACATTGCTGTTATCCTGTTCGTTTTTCAAGGTGCCCAGATTTCACATTGTTCAAATACACATGCTCTACAAACAATCTGTGCAGTTAATGCAATCATCACAGGGTCCTGAGGTGACATACATCCTCCTCAGTTTACGAAAATGATGGGATTAAGAGATTAAAGTAAAGACAGCCATAGGAAATCACAAGGGTATTGACTGGGGAAGTGATAAGTGTCCATGAAATCTTCACAATTTATATTCAGAGATTGCAGTAAAGACAGGTGTAAGAAATTATAAAAGTATTAATTTGGGGAACTAATAAATGTCCATGAAATCTTCACAATTTATGTTCTTCCGCCATGGCTTCAGCTGGTCCCTCTGTTTGGGGTCCCTGACTTCCTGCAACATTCAAGACTTCTTTTGAGATATTGTTTTTAAGTCTTTAGACATACTTATAATCCAGGAAGCAAGATTCATACTTGGAAGTGTTTGATTTGTAAAATATTTGACCATTTATGAACCAAAACTGAAAACTTAATTACCAAGGAAAAAGTAATTATAATTAAATATACATCCATTACTAATATTCTTACCCATTTAAAGATCACCACTTTTTAATATGGGCATAACTGAACTTTTCAAATATATTGTTTTTCAGGGCCCGAGGTAAACTGACATTTTCTCTTCACATCTGAATGCCACAGTTCTACTCCCACAGTCTACTTTATTGTGTTTGCTTTTTCTTCCTTACACAAACACACAGACACACATAAATAAACACACACACAAGCCCTGAAGGGACTCGTATTTCTTTAAGTAACATTAATACTCAATAAATACATATAAAATCCAGAAGAGAATGCATTTATTTCAGCCTCTCTCATTCAAAACATCCCAGAGATTGCATGTAACACCTAGATATTCCAATAAGTTACTTGATAAAGTTCAGATGCAACTACCCATAAAATAACACTTTGATAAAGTGATAAAATATGAATTTGTTCATGTGAAAAAAAAATCTGTTATAAATAACAAGTCCAAATAGAGCAATTGGCTCAGACAAGGTAAATATTCTTCCAGTATAAAATTTAAAAGTTTCATGAAAATTATCTGTGCCTTTGAATAATGTTTTCAGTAGAAAGCTGTTTTGAAGCTATTTTAATCTAACTCCTCCTTCATATGTTGTATGTGATAATTTACTTCTTTAGGCATAAGAAAAGCTCAAAGAAAACTTTTTCAATTGAATAATTACTCAATTATTGTGCGAAAAAGTAAAACTAAAATATATAAAAATATATATTAATGCTAACAGAACAAAGGGCAACTGAGACAATAAAAAATGAATCATATATTAAACCAGAAGTTGACACATATATGGATACTGACAATGGAATCTGGAAAGAAATATCAGTATTAAAGTCTTCAGCTGCATATTATATGGTCATACACAACATGGCAAAAATAATCTGCTTTGCTTCCACCCAGTATTTCATCTTTTCATTAACTAACTAAAGCCCACACAGTTAGTCATATAAAATCCACACAATCAGTTTTAGCTTGTCATTTAGAATTTTATAAAGTGATAAATTAAGTTAGTGTTTAAAATACTTTAGTGAAAAGAATTTGTGATGGTCTCATCATTTAGGATGTAGTCAGGAATTCAGAAAGAACTCTGGTTATTTTGAACAGACATAATTTAATACAGGGAACTAGTTAAACAGGAGTTAGAGTATGAAAAATAAAAAATAAAACACTCACACAAGAAACAGGCCATCTCTAGGTCTGGGTGAAATAATGTGGCAGTTTGAGGGGGAGCAGATAGAAGCACAGATGAAAGACTCCACAAGACAGAGGTACTTAGCATTCTAAGGTGGGATTTTTTTTTTTTTTTCTTTTTAGTGCCTTAGATGATAAAAGGAGAGGCCCATAGAACAAGGGCTCAGACTTCTGGGGAGGGGTAGGGCTGGTTGGCTGGCCTTCATAAGGAGTTTTGGTAAACTGGCTTTAGAATTAACTAAAGAAGCTGGCTACTATAACCAACTGTTCCTGCCAGAGCAGAGCCATTGGTAGGGAGGCTCCAACAAGAATAGAAAACAAACAGGAAAAAGCAAATGCTCTCTCGTCCTCATGCAGTGACCCTTTCATGCTCCTAATTTATATATTCCAATAGAATTCTAGCCGATGAAGGGGAGAATTGTAGAACTCTAACTCCAGAATCACAAAGAAGGGTAGATTTGAAGCTAAGAAAAAATAGCTTAATTATTGGTATCTTTTAGTTATCTGAAATCTTTAAATAAGGATGTCAAGAAATAAAGATTGCTATAAACATAAAACTTTTTAAAAGATTTTTGTGGACCTTGCTTTTACTTCTTATGTTATTAGATTAAATTTATTTCATTTTAGTGTTGCTTTCTTGATTTACAAATTATTTCTGATGATGGTAATGACTGTATCAGGGTTCAACCAGAAAACAAAGACTTTAGCCATTACAGGTGTTGGTTAAACACTATACGACTGCTATCTTTGCTTCCATTGTTAGAGCTTGAGGTCCACGTGGTGGCCATTGAGAAAGAAAGATGAATGTAAAGTGCATAGAACAAGAATAAATTTAAACACACGACCATGATCTGGAGTCTGTGAGCATAAGCTGGCTGGAAATGATAAAGATGGACTAGAACCCTTAGGTGTCCTGCAAGAAAAGCTGTCACCTTTCATCACAGTGCTGAGCACATCTCAAACCCAGTCAGCAAAGATCCACTAGGGCAAGGTGGAGTAATTGCAGGCCTGGCTTCTGTCCCAGACCAAATTAGCCAGCAGACAAGTGCCACACGTAAGAGCTGCAAAAGCACCTGTTTCAACCTTCTAAGCATAAAACCAATAACTACCGCTTTACTTCCACTCTCCAAATCTCCGCACAAAAGTATCTCTTGTACTTAATACGCCATTAAAGAGTTCAAAGGCAGCAAAGACATACAAAAATGGATTTCTTCTGAGGAGGTAGAAAACACTTTTGGGATGGCAAAAGTGTTCTGAATTGAGAGTGTTTTAAGATAACCTGCAAATTTTGACTGGAAAAACATAAACTTCTAATTGCTTTAATAACAGTAGGCCTAGAAAATATTTGTGATATATCATTTTAATTTAAAAAATTATTATTTTGATCACTTATTGGCCTGATTAACTAAATTAATACAAAAAGCATTCAATGCTGTTGCAAAAATATATATTTTATAACTTATTTGTATAATTTCTGTATAGTTAAATGTTAAAATAAAATGTATATATATATAATTCACTTTTTACTTTATGTGCACTTTTAACAGGTAAATTTATTTCTGCAGTACATATTAAAGAAAACACAAATATTTTTATAAAAGGTTTCTCCCAGATGAGAATATGCAGGTGATTTTTCAAAGTATAATATACAAAAGGTATATATTTTATTTTTATTTTATTACTTGCTATTTTTAGAGATCTATTTTAAGTATCTCTTCAAACTGGAGCTTTTTGAGGAAGTCCCTAAAATCCTATTAAAGAACAATACAATAACACTTTTCTCTTCATGCAAGACTCTATATTTATCTGTATTTTAAAACATTAAGCTCTAGTGACTGCATGGTCTTAGTATTATACATACTTTGCTTCTAGAAAAAAAAATACTCAAATCTACTCTTGTGAAACACTTTTGCTATGCAGTTTTCTTCTTTTACATGTATCCTGTATTCCATTTCTACTGTACTTCAGGGTAAACCTTCTGGGACTACAGAATGCTCTAAATTGAATGTACCCCATATTATTTTTGCACTCCTGTTCTCAGGAATCTAATACAGTTTCCAGACTTCTCACCATCTCATTAAAAATTAGTAGAGGGATGTCGGTAGGTACACAATCTTACAAATGCAGGTCTGACTTCGTAAATTAAACATACTTTGTGTGTGTACATTATTAATTCCTGTTTGCTTTTAGGTGTCAGCATGTGCAAACTCACTGGTACCATCTTTGCATTTGGAAGTTCTCTGGATTTTGGAGAAGAAAGCAAATGAATGACTTACATATGAATCAGGATTATGAATTATGTAAATCAAGCCACCAAGTCAGGGCAAAGAGAAAATTAAAGTTACACTAAGGGCGTACTCCAAGAATTTCTCAGGAAAGACAAGAAAAGAAAATGTCAGTTTTAACAGGTAATTCCACTTACCTACAAAGATTTTTTGCAACAAATATGACAATCCTTATTTTGTTGAATTTTTTCTCTTCAGCTCTTAAGGGAATTAGATATGAACTATTGTTTGTACCTGTATTCTGGGGTAAATTATTCTAGAACTCCTTTGAATGTGCTTTTTCAAAAGTATTAACCTCCAGAAACATAAGCAACAATAACAGAAGGGTCAGTCAATAGATGTTCCTAAGTGAAGTGCCAGCATTCTGAACCATAATTTTTGTGACTTCATATGAGGTTATGTTTTATACAAGCCAAACTTATTTTTAAGGGTAAAACAGAAGAGCAGGTTGAAATGGGGAACAGCTCAGAAAGTGGCAGAAAGTGCTAGCTGTGGAATCTTTGCCCACCTCCAGCCTCTGGACCAAATATTTTTCTATGTACCATGTGCATAATAAGCTATTGGTGAATAGTTTGGCAGATGTCTCTAACAGGAGTCATGTGGCAGATGTGTGGGGACAAGAATGTAGGCACCATATCGACCTTAAATGATGAGTCTGAGAAGGCAAAGAGAATCCTATAGTCAGAGATTCCTGAGATAAGCAGAGGAAGGTAGGGATGGCCTTTATGCAAAGCTTGACAGCAAGATGGGAAGCCATGGTAATGTGAATTTCACAGCAGAAACAAAGGCAGACATAATGAAATGCTTGGACTCTGCTTTGTGGCATATACTTAGGATCAACTTCTAAATCCTATATAGTTTTGTTATCTAGGACCTTGAACCAGTTATTAAAACTCAATTTCAGTTTTTTCATCAATGAGATTATTTAATAATATTGACCTTAATATTGTTGAGAGGATTCACTGACATGACACATGAAAATAATTATCTAAGTGTCTGGTATCCTAGAGCAGATCCAGGTTGCCATTTGAAATCATTGATGTAAGCTTTTTATTTTTCATTTATATCTGAACCTTAAAATTTATTTATATTCAGTCAATCTATTTTGAGGCTGTCCGTTCAAATTTCTTTTAATAACATTTGAAGACCAGATGAGTTTTATCTAGGATGGAAAGTGAGGAATATTTTCCATTACTAAAATTAACAGAGTGAACATCTTACAGGAATAGCATTTCTGAAAGTCTTAAAATTACCTCGAAACAAATGAATATTTACAGTTATACACAGGCAGGCCTCAGAGATACTGCAGGTTAGGTTCTAGACCACTGAAATAAAGTGAATATCACAGTAAAGCAAGTCACATGCATTTTTTGGTTTCGCAGTGCATATAAAAGTATAATTACACTATAGTCTATTAATTGTGCAATGGCATTGTCTAAAAATGCATATAGCTTAATTAAAATACTTTATTGCTGAAAAACGCAAACTATTATCTGAACTTTCAGTGAGTTCACAGCATAATTTGGGTGGTTGAGGGTCTTGTTTCAATGCTGATGGCTGCTGACTGATCAGGTTGGTATTTACTGAAGCTTGGCGTGCCTGTGGCAATTTCCTAAAATAAGACAGTAATGAAGTTTGCTGCATCAATTGACTCTTCCTTTCATATAAGATTTTTATGTAGTATGTGATGCTGTTTGATAGCATTTTACCTACAGTAGAATTTCTTTCAAAATTTGAATCAATGCTCTCAAACCCTTCTGGTACTTTATCAAATACATCTGTGTAATATTCTAAATTCTCAAACCCTTCTGGTACTTTATCAAATACATCTGTGTAATATTCTAAATTCTCATCAAATAGAAAACTAAATAAACAATTCTTCATCCATTCAAGTTTTATCATCAGACTCTGGCTATTCAGTCACATCTTCAGGCTCCACTTTTAATGTTAATTCTCTTGCTATTTCCACCTCATCTGCCATTACTTTCTCCACTGAAGTCTTTAACCCCTCAAATTCATTCATGGGACTGAAATCAAATTTTTCCAAACTCTATTTTTAATGTTGATATTTTCACCTCCTCTCATAAATCACAAATGTTCTTAATGACATCTAGGATGGTAAATAGTTTCCAGAAGGTTTTCAGTTGACTTTGCTTAGATATATCAGAGGAATCACTATCTACGGCAGCTAGAGCCTTATGAAATTTATTTTATTTATTTATTTATTTATTTATTTATTGTTGAGACGGAGTCTCGCTGTCGCCCAGGCTGGAGTGCAGTGGCGCGATCTCGGCTCACTGCAGGCTTCGCCCCCCGGGGTTCACACCATTCTGCCTCAGCCTCCCCAGTAGCTGGGACTACAGTCGCCCGCCACCTCTCCCGGCTAATTTTTTGTATTTTTAGTAGAGACGGGGTTTCACCGTGTTAGCCAGGATGGTCTCGATCTCCTGACCTCGTGATCTGCCCGCCTCGGCCTCCCAAAGTGCTGGGATTACAGGCGTAAGCCACTGCGCCCGGCCGAAATTTATTTCTTAAATAATAAGACTTGAAAGTCAAAATTATGCCAGGTACATTGGCTCACACTTGTAATCCCAGCACATAGGGAAGTGAGGAGCAAGAATGAGAGATCACTTGAGCCTAGAAGTTTGAGACCAGCCTGGGCAAAATAGTGAGACCCCGTTTCTATAACAAATTAAAAAATCGAAAGAATAGCTGGCTGTGATGGTGTATCTCTGTAGTCCCAGCTGCTTGTGAGGCTGAGACAAATGGATCACTTGAGCTCAGGAGTTTGAGGCAGCAGTGAGCTATGATGACAGTATTGCACTCCAGCCTGGACAACAGAGCAAGATCCTGTCTCTTAAAAAAAGAAAAAAAGGAAAGTCAAAATTACTTTTTGATTAATGGGCTGCAGAATGGATGTTGTGTTTGCCAGTATGAAGATATTCATCTTTTTGAACATCTCCATCAGGGCACTTGGTGACTAGGTACATCGTCAATGAGCGATAATATTTTGAAAGAATCTTTTTTTTTTTTTTCTGAGATGTAAGTTTCAAAAATGGGCTTAAACTATTCAATAAATTATACTGTGAGCGGATGTGCTATCATCTATCTAGCCTTTATTGTTCCATTAGTGTATCACAGCAGAGTGACATTAGTATAATTCTTAAGAGCCCTAGGATTTTGAATAGTACATGAGCATTGGCTTCAACTTAAAGTCATCACATTAGCCCTTAATAAGACATCTTGTCTTTTAAAGCTTTGAGGCTAAGCATTGAATTCTTCAATTGGATTCTCCTCTCTAGCTATGGAAGTCTTAGAACACATCTTCTTCCAATAGAAGACTGTTTTGTCTACATTGAAATCTACTGTTTAGTGTAGCTACCTTCACCAATGGTCTCCACTAGATTTTCTGGATAACTTGCTGCAGCTTCTACATCAGCACTTGTTGCTTCACCTTGTACTTTTTATGTTGTAGAGATGGCTTCTCACCTTAATCCTCAGGAACCAACATGTGTTAGCTTCAAACTTTTCTTCTGCAAGTTTGTCACCTCTCTGAACCCTCAAAGAATTGAAGGTAGCTAGAGTCTTGCTCTGGATTAGGCTCTGGCTTAAATGAATGTGGTGGCTGGTTTGATCTTCTATACAGACCACTAAACCTTTCTCCGTATCACAATAAGCCCGTTTCATTTTCTTGTCATTCATGTATTCACTGGAGTAGCACGTTTAATTTCCTTCCAGAACTTTTCCTTTGCCTTAATGACTTGGCTATTTGGCATAAGAGGCCTAGCTTTTGGCCTGCTTTGACTTTCAACATGCCTTCTTCACTAAGCTTAATCATTTCTTGCTTTTGATTTAAAATGAGAGACGTTTGTTTGACTCTTTCTTTCACTTGAACACTTAGAGGCCAATGTAGGCCATTAATTGGCCTATGCGATATGTTGTATCTCACGGAATAGGGAGGCCCGAGGAGAGAGAGTGAAACAGGAATAGCTAGTTGGTGAAGCAGTCAAAACACATACTGGTATGTATTAAGTTAGCTATCTTATGGCACCCTAAAACAATTACAAGAGTAACATGAGAGATCACTGATACAGTTAACCATAACAGATATAGTAATAATGAATAAGCTTGAAATACCATGAGAGTTACCAAAATACGACATAATGACATGAAGTGAGCACATGCTGTTGGAAAAATGGCATGGATAGACTTGCTCTACACAGGTAGCCAAAATCCTCAATTGTAAAACACTCAGTATCTGTGAAGTGCAATAAAGCAAAGTGTGATATTACAAGGTATGCCTGTAAAGCATTGTTTTAAAAACACTGCTAAGAAAAATTTAAATAAATTATGTGTATTGAATAAGAATACAAAATGTTAATAATCTGATTTTGATACTTGTTCTCTGCTTAAGAATCTTGTTATTAGGAGACCCACACTAAAGTATTTAGAGTTAAAGAACATAATGTAACTGTGTGAGTTGCTCATACATTTAGGCAAATAGTGTGTGTGTGTGTGTTCACCTGTTTGTGTACAGAGAGAGACAAAGAGACCAGAAAAAAGGAAGAAAAAAATATTAATAATAAAGCAAATATATTAAAATGTCAATGCTTGGGGAATCTGGATGAAGAGTGTACATGAATTATTTGTGCTATTTTTATGGATTTTCTATTCTTACATTATTTCAACATAAAAAATTTAAAAAATATTGCTCAACACTAGTCTCACAATGTTATGTTGACTTTATGGGAAATGATATGAAAACAGATGCAAGATTTGGTGAATGCCATATCAGTCCCCACATTAATTATTTATGCATGCTTACTTTAGTGTAGAAACGTGTATGTTTATTTTCTAATATTTTAATGGCAGTATGCTATATGTGAGTTGAAGTTGTTTTTGAGTCCTCATCAACTTTGTATTTGACTTTAATTGATTTTTTTACTATTGATACTCACATTAGATAACAGCAAAAGGGCTTGTTAATTTAACAGAAAGAAAATTAATAATATTCTCATATATTTTCCTCATTAAATTCACATTATAGGAGTAATGGTTATTTTAAATGGGCATAATTATTAACAGGAAAAATGCACACATTAATTTTAAACACTAATGACTGTGGCACTACTTACTTTTCTAGAAGTAATTTAGGCACGGTTGCATGAGTTTCAATTCCCCTTTAACCAAACTTATTAATGATTTTATGGCAAACTCAAGACAGTGTACAGTAAAGGTCACTGGAATGGGGCACATATAAACCTTTTACATTTATGTGCTAATATGGCCTTATTATCTATGGCTTGCTGCTATTTGATGATACCTCACTGAGAATATATCTTAACAACATAATGTCCTTCATAAAAGTGACTGTCCACAGAAAAGTTTTCTTAGCCTACTTACAGTTGGAAAGCCCTGTTATTTATTTTTCTTCCCCATCCTTTCATTTTCTTTTTCTTTTAAATCCTTATGTCGCTACATGGAGCCCATCTAGGCATTTTTTTTGAAATTATGTATATAATTCTATGCATATATATAAAATGAATCCAAATATTAAGTAGATCTATTACCTTATTTTTTAGCATCTGTTTACTTCTTAACATTTTCAGTCTGCCTTAAGTTCCCAATATTCCATGAAATCAAAAGTTCTTTTCTTTGTCTCCATTAATTTTTATCTCTCAAATGCTTCAGCAAAGTAATGAAAATAAAAGAATTTCACAATGAGAACAACCCCATCATTTGAATCCTGGCCTTGCCATATAATGAAACTTGACTTATTTTGAAACATTTTTATGCCTAGGTTTCCATCTGAAAGATGTGGATGAAACACCCATTTTCCAAGTTTTTTTGTGTGTGTGTGTGTTGAATGAAATCATGGATACAAAACAAATAGCAAGGGTCTAAAACATACATACTAACCTCTCAAAAATCTCAATGTTAAATAAAAAGAAATTTATTTGGCAAAAGTTACTCCAAGGATATGGAGGGTGTTGCCTAGAATGTTTCATTGGAAATGTAAAACTTGAGGTAGTTGTTGGAAGGGTGAGCTTTAGTTAAGCAGATAAGTAAAAATAGTATGTTTTATGTATAGATGAGCAAGTTATATCTTGGAAATGGTGAAGAGACCACTTCAGCTGAAGCGGAGATTTTCAGGGGCAAAAGTTGGGGGCTGATTTAGAGAGATATGAATCTATGAATGCTATATAAAAGAGTTTGAACTTTATTTTGAAGACAAAAATGGAACTATTGAAGTTTCCTTTTTGGCAGGAGAGTGCCTTTATGAAAGCAGTGATTAACGCAGATTGGTTTAGAAAAGCACTGGGCAGTATGATTTGGAGATTGGAAAAGAGGGCCCAAAGGTTAACCAGTTAATGGCTTATCACAAGTGCCCACACATGAGGTTCTAAGAGTTTGCCTTTGCTGTTTGCAGTGAGAAGAAAAACTAAAGACAAATTTGATTTTTTCCATAATAAAGGTTGATAAAATTTATTATCTGGCTAATTCTTTTGCATTACAGATAAAAACGTTTCTCATAAAATTTGGAGTTTTTTGTCTTCAGTAATGGAGGAAAAAATGTCAAAGACAAAAATTATGGAAATTATAGTAAAGAAAGGTACTTTTAGTTAGATAAAAAATTGATTTTAAAAACAGAGATTAGGCTGAAATAACTACATATCAATTCTTTGGAGACACTTTGCCACATGAGCCTGGAACTTGAAAGAAATGGCCTCCAAAATATGGATGTATATGTATATATTGTATTACAATGGTAGTGAAATTTTGGTGCTTACCTACCAGTTGTTGACAGCTAGAGGAACCAGTAAATGGTAAAATTGAGACAGGATAATCTGAATGGGTCACTGTGACAAAGGCCAGGGTAAGAAAGAATTTCAAGATGGAAAAGAGAAACATGATTATGGTAACTTTCAGTGTGTCCAGAATATTCTAAGCACTGATCCTAACACACAGAATTTCATTGAATGCCTTTAACAACCCTATGAGAAAATATTTTACATGCAGCCACATATCCTGTGAGAGTTTTCCCTGTTCAAGAATGTATCATAAACCCTAAACTGAAGATGGAAGGCACCGCATTCTTTTCACAATAAGTATACAAAGTTATCATAAATCAGAATAAACCACAATCCAACAGAACTACTCAAAATAGCCATTTAGAAGTCTAGCCTATTCTACCTAGCCCAATTGTAGTCAATATAAAAGAGGGCTGAAAATTAAGGATGTTATTGGCTTGTTCAGGAGTTTAATCATTATGAACTATAACCTTGCTTCCTCGAGCCAAGAGAAATGGGCTCCAAGAGACTCACTTATAAAGATAAAAGATCCCTAAAAACACAGAGTAGTATTGTTTTCCCCTTTTTGGGTATCCTTTGAAAGTCTCAACTTGATGATCTGTTTCTGTGCTAACTGGACAAGGCAAAAGAGAGAATTGGATAGTAATAAATGGTTTCCCAGGGGACTGCCAAGCAAAGAGAAGGCAAGGATCTTCTCTATTCATGTTTTGTTTCTAAAAGGTGCAGGAGATAGATACTGAGTTCCAATGCAATCTGGATTGTTGGGCAGAGAGGCTCGATAAATTTGGGGCTTCAGCTTTATTGGGGCACTCAAAGCATTGGGACAAAGATCACATGTCAGAGGGAGAAACTGTGAATGTCACAGGTGAAGATCAGCAGGAGGATGTGGAGGGACAGACAGCACAGGACTAAGGGAGATGCAGGAAAGAAGTGACTCTGTAATAGACAGTGGAACCTGCTGGAATAGTCATCTGTCTCCTTTTAATTGATAGTCACAAGGATAACCAAAAAGTGCTTAAACCCAGTAAAAAGAGAACTACAACCTTTTCAGTTGGATATTTTACACATTTCACTCGCCTTGCCACTCCACCACTACCCTGAAAACACACCTTCGACTGAAGAGGAGTGTAAAAAGAGTAGACCTTGTCTTCCCCTTACACTCTAAGTCCTTAAAGCCACTGAGACCTAGTCAGCATAGGCAGAGACGATGAGAAGAGACAGGGATTGAAGTTTTTTAACGAACAGGACTTTATAGCAAAGTGAAACTGTTCTGATAGCAGAGAGAAATTGGAAAGTCATTGAATGTAGCCAAGATATCAGAAGGGACTCTCTAACAATTGGGTGAAGGTGAAGTTCAACATGATATATGTGCAAGGCAGTTGTTTCAAATATACCTCCAGTATTTAACTGTATTTAACAGATAGAGAAGTATTCCTTATATTTAATTAAACCCACAAGTGCTATTAAACATTAACCCATTTTAATTTTCTCTGTTAATGGAGAATTTTTTTCCATATAGCAATTACAGAATAATATGTTAAAGTCACCATTTATATTTTCTTTCTACTAAGTTAATGCTCTAGAATTCTTTATATTAACTTTTTATATCAATTTAAATTTCATGTTTCTCAAAAGTCTAAAAATTTTAAAAGTATGTTTGACTAAATATTTTAGGTCACTTAAATAAAGAAACAGCAATAAATTATTTAAATGCCAAAGACCTACCATCTTGAATTTTACAAAAATTCTGGAAAGTCTTTTTTTTCTTTTTTTTTTTTTCACATTTACTAGCACCAAACATTTTTCTCTGCTGACCAAGATGGACTTAATATTTCCTTCAACTTCACTAAACTTCAGTCAGGCTTCTTCTTGCCTCTAGGCCCCTGACTTCCCTCTCACACCCATCCTTCCAGAATCCAGATAGCCTAAGCACGGAGTTCTCTCCTCTCTGTTTTCTCAGTGCATTAACTTTAGAAAATTTGTAATTCTAGATTATTTTTCTGACCCTTTGAAATTTAAATCTATTTAAAAAAACTTATTCGTACTTCTTTTTTATTTTTAATTACTATGAGTACATAATAGTTGTCTATTTTTATGGGTTAAATGTTATGTTTTGATACAGGTATACAATGTATAATGATCAGAGTAATCAGAGTATCTGTCATCTGAAGAATTTATCATTTTGTGTTGAGAATATTTTAATTCTATTCTTTTAGTTGTTTAAAATGTATAATAAATTATTTTTAACTATAGTCATCCTATTGTGCTACAATATTAGATCTGTTATACTAGATCTAATTTACTCTAATTGTAGTTTTGTACCCATTAACCATGCCCACTTTATGTCTCTCTCCCCACTATCCTTCTGAGCCTCTGGTAATCATCATTCTACTCTGTTCTCTAGGTTCAATTATTCTTTTAGCTCCACATTTGAGTGAGAACTTGTGATATTTGTCTTGCCATGCCTGGCTTATTTCACTCAACAAAATATCCTCCAGTTACATCCTTACTTTTGCAAATGACAGAATTTTATTCATTTTATGTCTGACACATATTTTACAGTGTGCATATGTACCACATTTTCTTTATACATTCATCCATTCATGGGCCCTTGGGTTGATTCTATATCTTGGCTATTTTATTTTATTTTATTTTTTGAGAGGGAGTCTCGCTCTGTCCCCCAGGCTGGAGTGCAGTGGCGGCTCACTGCAAGCTCCGCCTCCCGAGTTCATGCCATTCTCCTGCCTCAGCCTCCCGAGTAGCTGGGGCTACAGGCACCCACTGCCACGCCCAGCTAATTTTTTGTATTTTTTAGTATACACGGGATTTCACCGTGTTAGCCAGGATGGTCTCGATCTCCTGACCTCGTGATCTGCCCGCCTTGGCCTCCCAAAGTGCTGGGATTACAGGCATGAGCCACTGCACCCAGCCAATCTTGGCTATTTTAAATAGTGCTGCAGATATTCCCAGATATGCAAGTGCAAATATTCCTTCAATACACATTTTTGAGGAACCTCCAAACTGTTCTCCATAGTGGTTATGCTAATTTACCTTCCCACCAACAGTGTACAAGTGTTCCCTTTTCTCCATATCCTCTCTAGCATTTGTTATTGCCTGTTTTTTAGATAAAAGCCTTTTTAACTGGGAGGAGATAATATCTCATTGTAGTTTTGGTTTGCTTTTCCCTGATAATTAGTGATATTAAGCATTTTTTTCATATAGCTCTTGGCCATTTCTCTTCTTTTGAGAAATGTCTGTTCAAATATTTTGCCCATTTTTAACTGGATTATTTGATTTTTTTAATTGAGTTGTTTGGGTTCCTTATATATTCTGGTTATTAATCGCTTGTCAGATAAGTAGTTTGTAAATATTTTCTTCCACTCTGTGGATTGTCTCTTCACTTTTACTTTATTTAGAAAAACCTAAACATTCCAAAAAAAAATACTGTTAAAACTAATAAATTCTTACAGGATTCTAGAACAACATACAAAAATCAGCAGTATTTTTATATGCCAACAGCAATGATCTGAAAAAGAAACCAAGAAAGTAATCCTATTTGACAATAGCTACAAATAATATAAAATACATAGGAATAAATTTAACCAAAAAACTGAAAGATATCTACAATGAAAACTGTAAAACACTGAAGAAATTGAAGGGGACATACAAAAAAATGGAAACATATTCTATGCTAATAAATTGAAAAAATCAACACTGTTAAAATTTCTATACCACCCAAAGCAATCTACAGATTCAAAGCAATTTCTATCAAAATACCAATGATATTCTTCACAGAAATAGAAAAAATTATCCTAAAATTTATACAAAAGACCCAAAATAGCTAAATCCATCCTAAGCAAAAAGAACAAAAGTGTAGGAATTATTACCTGACTTCAAATTACACTACAGAGCTATAGTAACCAAAACAGCATGGTACTGGCACAAAAACAGACATGTGGATCAATGAATCAGAATAGAGAACTCAGATATAAATTCATACATTTACAGTCAGCTCGTTTTGACAGAGGTTCCAAGAGCATACATTAGGAAAAGGACAATCTCTTCAATAAATGGTGTTGGGAAAACTGGATATCTATATTCAGAACAATGAAATTGGACCAGTGTCTTTCACCTTATACAAAAATCCAATCAAAATAGATAAAAGACTTAAATAAGACCTGCAAGTATGAAACTACTTGAAGAAAACATTGGGGAAACACACCAGGACATTGGTCTGGGCAAAGATTTCTTGAATAAGACCTCAAAAGCACGGGCATCCAAATACAAAAATGGACAAATAGGATCACATCAAGCTAAAAAGCTTCTCCACAGCAAAGAAACCAATCAACAAAGTGAAGAGACAACTCTTTTCCCATTTTTATAACTCAGGACTGTCTTTCTCTAGGAACTTGGAGCCATTCTTTGAAATATAATCATCAAGGAACATAGTGGCTCTATCTCCCAGTCTTTCTGTGAATGTAGAAGCTTATCTTCACTGATATCTCTTCCAAGTTGTGAAACTACCTCCTGTCATGATGATACCAGAAAGTTTTTTTGGGTAAAGTCAATTAGCAAACACAGATGGGCTATGTTCCTCCCAGTCCCAGTTCTTAAAAAGTCTTTACCTCTTGAATTCAAACTGCATCTTGGTCTCTCTCTTTTATTGCAAGATCCTTCTATAAAGTCTTCCTTACCTGTTTAGCATTGCCTGGTGCAATTTTTGCTTTGACACTACCATCTTCTTCTTTCTACTGTTCTTTAAACTATGAAACGAAGAAAACCTTGGGATCTGTAAGTTTATGTATAAATAATACAGTCTGCCCCTTCCAGACTTTTTCCTATGAAATCTTAAAAATGCTAACAAGAGATAGCTATTCTATTACAAATCTGGTGCTTATGTTAGTAATATACATTTAGAGGAAAGTCATTTTTTAGAAGATAATTACTAGCCAATTTTATCTACCAAAAGTTTAATATTGAATGCTTTATTCCAACAGCAACACAGCAACACAAGTATTTTATTTCCCACAATGTGCTGATTTAACCATCTATTTAGAGGCCTAAATATACACTCAATAGCTCTAGATTTTCATCTCTTCAGGAATGCTCCAGGAATCATGGCATTGCTAGAGTCTTTTTTTTTTCCCCATCCCTTCCCTTCTCTTTCATATCCTTTCCTTTCCTCCTTTCTGTGCTATCTTTGTTGTTGTTGTTGTTGTTATGGAAATTTCAGTCACTCAACTTAGTAATCTTTTGCTATCACTTTAAAGTTCCAGCTCCTCATCTCACCCTGACAAGCTCTTGAGTTAACTTCTCCAATGCACCTAATTGTCACACTCATCCTCACTGCTCTATTAGGAGACAGTACACCTGAGAAGAGTCCTATGTCCATTGAGCGGAAACGAGGGGAAGAGAGAACAAATATGGCACATATTTGGGAAGTTCATGTAAGAATTTTCATTTTGAAACACAGCAGTATAGAATTTGTAACATCCAGTATTTACTAACTGCTCACTAAGTTCTAGGCATTGTTCTAAATGCTTTGCATGAATTATCTTCCTTAATTCCCATAGCTATCCTACAAAATAATTACCAATATTAGGCCCACTTTACAAATGGGAATGTTGAGACACAAAGAAGCCACAAAGTTAGCAGTGAACCCTAGATTCAAAAACAGGGTGTTGATTCTATCAAAGTGCCATATCCGCAGTCTTTTCTTTTCTGGAATATTTCATACAGATTTTTCAGCGTTACACTTGAAATGAGTTGTTCATGAAGAAACAAAGACTGAGGTTATCACTTACAGAGTATTCTTCCTGTCGCTTGGACAAATACAAGTATATGTTTGTACTTCTCTGTGAGAACAAAAACTACTTTTGCTTCCCTTTCTTCCAACTCATCACACGTAATGATTCTACTAATAGGCATATAAAAGAGTTCAGAATATGGATTGTGGGCGAAGGATTACCCAGGTGCGGAGGCAAGAGACTGAAGGCACACACTGTTTCAGTATAATAAAGAAAATAGTTAGAATAAGAATAGTTATAATACAAATTAGATACAGAGATGATCATGGACAATTATCAATCATTAGTATAAACATTAATAGCTTTTAATATTACTCTTTGTTGTATTACTCATATTACCAAGGAATAACTGGCAGGTATAGGGTCAGGTACTGAAGGGACATTGTGAAAAGTGACCTAGAAGGCAAGAGGTGAGCCCTCTGTCTCGCCCGCATAAGGGCCGCTTGAGGGCTCCTTGGTCAAGCGGTAATGCCTGTGCCTGGGAAGGCACCCGTTACTTAGCAGACCGTGAAAGGGAGTTTCCTTTCCTTGGAGGAGTCAGGGAACACTCTGCTCCACCAGCTTCTTGTGGGAGGCTGGATATTATCCAGGCCTGTCCGCAGTCATCCGGAGGCCTAAACCCCTCCCTGTGGAGCTGTGCTTCAATGGTCACACTCCTTGTCCACTTTCACGTTCCTCCCATACTCCTGGTTCCTCTTTGAAGTTCTTAGAAGATAGCGGTAAAAGAAATAGTGAAAGTCTTGAAGTCTTTGATCTTTCTCATAAGTGCATAGAAGAAAACTCTGATGTATGCTGCCTTCCCCCTCTGCTTCGGCTACCTAAAAGGGAAAGGCCCCCTGTCCCATGATCACGTGACTTGCTTGACCTTATCAATCACTTGGACAACTCACCCTCCTTACCCTGCCCCCTAGTCTTGTATTCAACAAGTATCAGCACGCCCAGCCCTTTGGGGGCAATACTGTTTCTGCGTCTTGGTGGTAGTGGTCCCCCCGGCCCAGCTGTTTTCTCCTTAGCTCTTTGTCTTGTGTCTTTATTTCTTACAATCTCTGGTCTCCGTACACGGGGAGAAACCCGCAAAGCCCTGTAGGGCTGGACCCTACAATGGATCTGTTGTAATTTTTGCCTGAAAGCCTACCTCTTTTTCAGCTCTTTCCTATTTTATCAGAGAAAAGAGTCTAAAATTCTCATTGGGCCAAGCATGTTGTTTCTTCGTTTAAAAGTTTATGTAGACCCTTAGGTATTATTTCATCAGTGCTGTAGATGGACACTTAGAAACAGTGTTGATAACTTCCAGCCCTACTGAAATACCTGCAAATGCCTATAACATTATGATTGTTTGCTTTCTCCTGAAAGAGGCTTTAAACTTGTTCGATAAATTTAAACATTATATGCTGCCACCAATTATTTGGTTTCTTGAGGTACACCATGCAATCATTCACCTCTACCAAAAGAAAGAAGAAAAAAAGGTCTCAGTGTAATGAAAATAATTGTAAATATGGCCCAAACATGTAAAAGCCAACAACAACAACAATAAAAAGTAGATAGTTGTACTATATCATTTTCTCATATCTTCTTAAAAAATATTTTTTAATTACCCAAAAGAATCATTTTGACAATTGGATACACATTTTTCAGGCTAGAACAAGGTGAATGTACAATTGAGAAAAGAGTAGAAGAGAAATTTCACACACAAATGGTCTCAGAGGTCACCTTCAGGTAAAGTTGACAAATTTTTCAAAGCAGAGAAAGGAGCTAAACTTATTTAAAAATCTTTATTAAATAACAGTGGTTCTTTAGGTTACATTGTCTTTGTTTTTAAATAATGTGAATTTTCAAAGAGGATTACATCAATTAATTTATAGCATTTACTCATCCTTTGTTATCATAAGCCCTGTACTCAGTTATTTTAAATTCAGTATTTTTTAAGTTTAGCTTGCTTGTGCATATTGCTCTTTTCCTTCTACACATTAATTTATAATATTAAAAATAATTGTCAAACCAGAGGTAGCACCTCAGAAGTTTCCTCTAGCAGCTGACAAAAACATGTTTTCACCAGTAATTTAACAAGGTCAACACCTGGCACATAGATTTTGTACTTGAGCTAGCAGAAAAAAAGCTATTTATATTGACAGGGTTTTCAGATACTTACACAGAAAATAACTCCGAAAAATTTTAAGTTACAAGGCTAAATGACTAAAATTTCTTTTTAAACATGTCTATAATGTAGTATCTGACTATTAACGTGGGCTAATAGTGAACGACAGCATGTTATCCCAGATAAAACCTAGTAATAAGAGTACATTGAAAATGATTTTTGGGTCAAGTACTACAAGGAGAAATTGAGTCAAACATCTGGTCTATAGCATATAAAAAATTGTTAAAGCTCAAAACTGGATTCAAATTCCTGTTCTCTACTAGTTTTAAGATCTTTGGAAAGTTAGCAAATCTCTCTACACCCAGATTTTCTCATTTGTAAAACTGAGATAATAGCTCCCCTTCTTGTAGAATTATCTGAAAGTTATCTAAAAAACTGTGCAAACCGATTAACATGATGTTTCACAAACAAAAGAATAATAAATATTAGCTAAAATTATTATGGCTATATTTCCTACCATTATCACTATCATTGTACATAATTTAAATCCATGCCTAATTGTTTACAGCCTTGGAACCTTAGTCAATAATGTCATGTATCCTTCTCCCTAATAAATTACCTCTATTTTTTTCCTTCTCCTTCTTAAAAGTATCTGAACCAACACATACATGGACAAATACATTCCACATATATCATGACACACACTTGAATCCGAACTCCCAAGTCTACCTTTAAATCCATTTAACTACTCATCTTAGAAACACCTTGGAAGATCACAGCGCTTATATTATATATGATTTTCAAATATATTTAATACTGTGTCCTCTACATTTTCAATACTGAGAAGCAGACACTGTTTTCCAATCTTATATTTCATTTTATTATCTTCCAGAAATTTATTATTATTTGAAGACTCAAATGCTAAGTAACATTAGCGCTTCTGCTTCCTATATGGCAGAGTACGTCCCTAAGAAAACCCTACTGCAGAGAACAAATGTAACTCAGATTTGAACACACACACAAAAACTAGCCAAGGCTACAGAGAGTGGAAAAAATTAAAACTGATTTTGGATAGGGGTCCAAACCTGATATAACAAATCAGAAAAAAATGGGTTTCTAATTTTTTTTGGACTGGCTTGAAGATTGGCCATAATTGTGGCATGATACAAGGTGGATGAAACTTTATTATAAAATCCTCTCTATTTCTAGCATAATTAACCAGGTAACAGAGTCTGAAGTGACCACATCTGCTGGAAATTGAGGCCGTAGGGATCCTGGAAAGGAAGGAGCCAAAGAAAGAGTGCCCTGGGTTATATGTGTAAACTCTGCTGAAGTTGCTGTTTGACTCTTTGTCATGTTCAGAGCTCTTTGGGTGGTCCAATTTAACTAGCTTGCCCCAGGGACAAATTTTTCCTTTCAGCTCAACTCACATCAAAGATGAGCTTTAGGCACCGTTTGATGTTCCAGCAGTTTATTCTGGCAGTGCTATTAAAAGATGAATAGCAGGTGCAGGCCAGTGACATGGACCAAATGCAGGGGCCATATGACTGCCTAACCAGAGAGTCTCCATCTGGAGACTATTCTCAGAGTCTGGGGGATTCTTCTCTCTTTTTTACACCTGTATTCAGTCTGGACCACTTACCAGGTGATTCTTTCACAAAGGGAGTTTAAGCTATTCCTGTAAGGGTAAGCTTTGTTTTAAGGTTCATGAAAGTTGCATCTGTGCTGAGATGATTTTTTTTTTTGTTCTTGGAAATCCTCAGACCAGAGTTAGAAATTCCTGGACCAGCTTCCATCATACTACAAGGTAACACATTGTATCTATTCTGCAAGATGCTTGAGTGGGCGTTATGACGATCATTAATCTTAGATGGACAATATGTTTCGTAGTATATTACAGCCCTGAACAATGAATATGCAGACATGTCTCAAAGCAGTTTGCAAATAAGTCTCAAATGTGATATAAGCAGGTGTGATAGCATTTGTAGTGTGAATCTAACCAACTGCCTGTTAAAAAAATAGCTACTGCTTTTTGAAGCAATGTAATAGAATCCATATTTGACATTCAACACTTCCATGATAAAATCTAAAACAACATCTTGCAAACAACCAAAGCACATCATGTTTTCTTAAGGGAAAATATAATTAACACAGGCCAGCTCCAATATAATCCAGATATTGGAATTATTAAACTAGAACTTTAGAACAGCTATCACAAGTGTGCTCAATGAAATAAAGAAAAGTACATTCATAATGAACAAACAGAATCAGAGGAATCTCCAACATTTGTAAAAGTGGAGTCTCAGAATGAAATATTTTTTTAAATGACAAAAATCTTCTTAAATTTGTTGAAAAATATCAATTTACAGTTTAAATAACAGCAAACTTCAAATAAGAGAAACAGGAAAAACTCGCCTAGAAATACCATAGTCAAACTGACGAAAACCAAAGATTAAATAAAATCTTGAAAGCAGTAAAGATAAAATCATGAAAAATTATGGAATAATAATAGCCTTTGTGAACATAGATGTAATAATCTTTAAAAATTATAGCAAATGAAATCCACCAATATATAATGCATTATAATCAAGTAGTAGTCTTCCAAAGAGTTCAATGTAATTCACAAAATAACAAAATAAAGGAGAACAACCATATAATCAATTCAACAGAGGCAGAGAAATTATTTGACAAAACTCATCACCAATTCATGGTAAAAGTTACCAGCAAACTATGAATAGAAGGGAACTACCTCTGTCTTATAAAAGTCATCTATAAAAATTCTACAGTTAATATAATATACAGTGGAGCAATGCTTAATACTAATGCCACCTTCCTCTCTCACACACATAGAAGATTTAAAATAACTTCTTTTTTACGGGGTATGAAATGTTTAGCCATCGGAACAAGGCAAGACAAAGAAATAACAGTAGTAAGAATCAAAATGGAAGAAATAAAATTGCTTCTATTTATACATGACATGATTGTTTTAATAAAAAAATCCTCAGGGTCTTAAAAATTTATTAGAATTAATAAGTAAATGTAACATTGTTAAGGTATAAAACTCAATAATATTTTATATACTAACAATAAGCAATTGGAAAGCATAATTTTAAAATATCTATCAGAATAAAAACCTAATAATAAAATTTAGAAAAAATATTTATGAGACATCTACACTCAGATCTGTAAAACATTGCTAAGAGAAATTAAAGAATACCTATATGAGGAGATATACCATGTTAATGAAGGAAAAACTCAATATTTTTTAAACACTGATTCTCTTCAAATAGATCTACAAATGCAAAGCAATTACCCCCAAATTCTAACAAGATTTTTGGAAATACTTGATAAGCTTATTATAACATTTATATTGAGATGGAAAAAAAACCTAGAAAGTCCAAAGCAATTTTACAAAATAAAAACCAAGCTTGATAATTTACATTAACCTTCAAAACCACAATATAAAGCTACAATAATAAAGGCTGTGTGGTATTAGCATAACAAAGGATATATGAGTCAGTTGAACAATGTAGAGTCCAGAAATCGTTGTATAAATATATGGTCAAAGATTTTGAATCAAGATTTTTAAAGCAAGTTTTTAAAAAAAAAACTGATGGAAGTAGGTATCTGTGAAGTAATGAACATCAACCCTTAACCTGACAGCCTACAGAATTTACTCAAAAAGGGGAATATAACTAAATATAAAAGTAAAAAATATAAAACTTCTAAAAGACAACTAAAGATAAAATCTTTACAGCCTGGAAGCAGGCAAAGGCTTTTTTAGATAGGACCTGTAAAATAAAATGTTGAAAAAATTGGCCTTTATTAAAATGTAATATATTTCTCTTGAAAATAAAACATTAAGAAAGTGAAAAGGTGGCCAGATAATGGGAGAAAACATTAATATCTTACCTCACCAAGGACTTTAATCTAATTTGTATAAACTCTTACACTGGCCAAATAATTTGAACAGCAAAAGAGGAGAAGTAGAAAAGAAAGGAGAAAGAGAGGATCAAGGAGAGGAGGAAGAGGAAAGAGAAAGAGGAAAAAGAAAGGAAAAACACACATAGTAGTAATTAAGCAAATGAAAAGTCATCAGAGAAATGCAACTTTAAACTATAATATGACACCATTATAGAGATATTAGAATAGCTTAAGAAAACTACAAATATGACATGGTGTCAAGGGTGTAAAACAATTGGCACTCTCATATATTACTGTAACATGGTACAGCACTTTGGAAAAGTTTGGCAGTTTCTTTAAAAATTAACCATGTACCTACCATAGGACACAGTCATTCCATTCCTAAGTCTTTGCCCAAAAAAAATAAAGTTATACGTTCACATAAAGTGTGTGACAGACACAGATATTTATAGAAGCTTTATTTGTAATATAAAAACCTGGTAAAAATTCAAATATTGAAGAACAAGTAAATAGATAGATACAATGTGTAGGATTTCCACAGTGAAACTCATAGCAATAAAAAAGAAAAAATGACTCATAAACTCTTCAATATAGATAAATTTCAAAATTATGCTGAGTGATAGAAGCTAGACACAAAAGGGTACATACTCATTTATTGAAAATGTTAAAAAGTGCAAAGTAGCTTATAGTGATAAAAAGCAAATCAATGGTTCCATGTGGTCATGTGCAGAGGAGCACATGGATTGCAAAAGTGTATGTGGTAGTCAGCCTCCAACTTTGCCTACAAAAATTCCTGTTTCAGGTATTTACACTTTTGTGTAATCCCGTCTCACGTTTTTCAGGGTTATGACTCACAGGGCGTAGAAGAAGTGATGCTATGTCATTTCCTAGATTCTCTCACTTGGATCACTCACTCTACTGGTAGTCAGCCGCTATGCCATGGGGAAACTCAGGCAACCTATTGGGCCTATAATGATGGCTACAAGGATCTGAGCCCATCTGCCAACAGCGATGTAGCTGACCCACTTTGGACAAAGGTCATTCAGCACCACTCAACTTTCAGATGACTGCAGCCTAGGCAATATCTTGATAGCAACTTCATGAGAGATATCGAACTAAGGTAATCCTAAAATCCTCACCCACAGAAAACATGAAATAGTAAGTATTTGTTGTTTAAAGCCACTAATTTTGGGGGTGATTTGTTACACAGCAATAGAGAAGTAATACAGATTTTAGTAACAAAATCGGATGCTACCATATCAAAAACTTAAAACGAAGAAATTGCTTTGAAACAGGGCAGTGGACTTTGATGATAATATTAGCAAACACTTAATGAACCTTGAACAAATTATTCATAAAATTTGGACTTTGAGGTGACTATCAGTAAAGACTTAAAGGGAAGTGAAGAAAATCTTATTGGAAACTAGAGGTAAGGTATAATTACTAAATAGTGGCAGAAAGTTTAGCAGGACTGTCATTTATAATAATGTACAAGGTAGAAAGTATATATAACCATGTGATCTAGCTTAAGGTGATTATAAAGCTATTAAAATCTATGGGCTATTTTGTCCTTTAATGGATTTCTTACCAATATATAAGTTTAAATTAATAAATCCCTGAAATGTTCTTGGGATCCTCTTGGTTCCACAATCATCAAACGAAAATACTTTTTCACTGACAACACATTTTTTAAATGGTTGTAGGTATGTTGTAGAAAATCCATTGAAGGAGCACTGGCGGCAACCTAATGTCTAAGCTGTTTGAGCTCCTTGGGGGAGGAGCAGCAGCCAGCACTGTGAATCACAACAGCCTAACTCGCCTAGCTCCCTGGGTGGAGGAAGGGCAGCACCCATTTCTATAGCTCCAGGCTGTTTTTCCCCTACTGAAGCCAGGAAGGCTGGACGGCTTGGTCCCAAGACTTGTCCCTACAGCCCAACACACTAGCTGTGGCAATCTGTGGCCAGAGTGCCTCATCAGGCCTAACTCTGACCCATCCTTCCTCCATGGGCAGGGCTTCCCCACAGGAACTCCAATAACTCCAGCTAGAGGCTCAGGGACAGAATTTGGATCTCCCTGGGGCTGAGCCCCTAGGGGAAGGGGTGGCCACAGTCTCTGCAGACCAGCACACTTAGCCTCTCCTCCTGGTAGTTCTGAGGAATCTGGGCAGCCCAGGTGAGTGGGTTTCCCCTGAGTGAAACACACCCTCTCCACCAAGGGACAAAGTGTGATTCATTAAACGGGTCCTGCTCCCTGTGCCACCAAACTGGGTAAGACCCTCTAACAGGGGTTGTCAGACAGCCTACACAGGAGCAATCCTACTGGCATCAGGTTGGTGCCCCTTGAGGTCAGAGGTCCCAGAAGAAGAAGTAGGCACCCATCTTTGCTACTCTCTAGCCTCCTTGAGTGACATCTCCAGGCACAAGAGTGAATCAGTTGAATAGGGCCTGAAGTGAACCCCCAGCAAACTGCAAGCCTACAGAAGTGGGACCTGACTATTGAAAGAAAAACAAACAAGCAGAAAGCAACAACGACTGTATCAACAACAACAACAACAAAAAGGCCCCCACAAAACCCCATTAAAGGATAAGCAGGCTCAAAGACTGAAACTAGACAAACTCATGAAGATGAGAAAGAATCAATGAAAAAGTGTTGAAAACCCAAAAGGCCAGAGTGCTTCTTCTCTAAATGATCGCAACGTCTCTCCATCAAGGGTGCAGAACTGGATGGAGGATCAGATGTGCCAAATGACAGAAGCAGCCTTCAGAAGATGGGTAATAAAAAACTATGATGAGCTATGGAGCATGTTCTAACCCAATGCAAAGAAGCTAAGAGCCGTGATAAAAGGTTAGAAGAATTGCTAACTAGAATTACCAGTTTAGAGAGGAAAATAAATGACCTGATGGAGCTTAAAAACACAGCATGAGAACTTTGTTAAACATACACAAGTATCAACAGCCAGATAGACCAAGCAGAAGAAAGGATATCAGAGTTTGAAGGCCACCTTACTGAAATTAGAGGTGCAGATGAGAATAGAGAAAAAAGAGTGTAAAGTAATGAACAAAGGCACAAAGAAATATGGGACCTAATAAAAAGACCAAACCTACAATTGATTGGAGTACCAGAAGGAGACAGAGAGAATGGAAACAAGCTGGAAGACACACTTCAGAATATTATCCAGGAGAACTTCCCCTATCTAGCAAGACAGGCCAACATGCAAATTCAGGAGATACAGAGAACACCATTAAGATACTCCAAGAGAAGATCAACCCCAAGACACATAATCATCGAGTTCTCCAAAGTCGAAATGAAGGAAAAACTGTTAAGGGCAGCCAGAGAGAGAGGGCAGGTCACCTACAAAGGGAAGCCCATCAGACAAACAGTGGATCTCTCTGCAGAAACTCTACAAGCCAGAAGAGAGTGGGGGCCAACATTCAACATTCTTAAAGAAAAGAATTTTTAATCCAGAATTTCATATCTGGCCAAACTAAGCTCTGTGAGTGAAGGAGAAACAAAATCCTTTCCAGACAAGCAAATGCTGATGGATTTTGTTACCACCGGGTCTGACCTGCAAGAGCTCCTGAAAGAAGCACTACATATGGAAAGGAAAAACTGACACCAACCACTGCAAAAACACAACAAAATATAAAGACCAATGACACTACAAAGAAACTGCATCAACTGGTGTGCAAAATAACCAAATAGTATCATGATGACAGGATCAAATTCACACATAACAATACTAACCTTAAATGTAAATGGGCTAAATGCCTCAATTAAAAGACACAGACTGGCAAATTGGATCGGGAATCAAGACCCATCAGTGTGCTCTATTCAGGAGACCCATCTTAAGTGCAAAGACACACACAGGCTCAAAATAAAGGGACGGAGGAAAATTTACGAAGCAAATGGAAAGCAAAAAAAAAAAAAAAGCAGGGGGTTGCAATCCTAGTCTCTGACAAAACAGACTTTAAGCCAACAAAGATCAAAAAAGACAAAGAAGGGCATTACACAATGGTAAAGGGAACAATTCAACGAGAAGAGCTAACTATTCTAAATATATATGCAACCAGTAAAGGACCACCTGGATTCATAAAACAAGTTCTTAGAAACCTACAAAGAGACTTAGACTCCCACACACAATAACAGTGGCAGACTTTAACACCCCACTGTCAGTATTAGACAGATCAATGAGACAGAAAATTAACAAGGATATTCAGGACTTGAACTCAGCTCTGGATCAAGTGGGCCCAGTAGATGTTTACAGAACTCTTTACCTCAGAACAACAGAATATACACTCTTCTCAGTGCCATGTGGCACTTATTTTAAAATCAACCATATAATTGGAAGTAAAACACTTCTCAGCAAATGCAAAAGAATAGAAATCATAACAGTCTCTCAGACTGCAGTGCAATCAAATTAGAACTAAGGATTTAGAAACTCACACAAGACCACACAATTTCATGGAAATTGAACAACCTGCTTCTGAATGACTCCTGAGAAAATAATAAAATTAAGGCAGAAATCAAGAAGTTCTTTGAAACCAATGAGCACAAAGAGGTAATGTACCAGAATCTCTGGGACACAGCTAAAACTATATGAAGAGGGAAATTTATAGCACTAAATGTCCACATCAGAAAGCTAGAAAGCTCTCAAATTAACACCCTAACATCACGATTAAAAGAGCTAGAAAGGCAAGAGCAAACTAATTCAAAAGCTAGCAGAAGACAAGAAATAACTAAGATCAGAGAAGAATTGTAGGAGATAGAGTTATGAAAAACTCTCCAAAAAATCAACGAGTACAGGAGCTACTATTTGAAAAAATTAACAAAATAGATAGACCACTAGATAGACTAATAAAGAAAGGGAGAGAGAAGAATCAAACAGACACAATAAAAAATGATAAAGGAAATACCACCACTGACCCCACAGAAATACAGACTATCATCAGAGAACACTATAAATACCTATATGCAAATAAACTATAAAACCTAGAAGAAATGGGTAAATTTCTGAATGCATATGCCCTCCCAAGATTAAACCAGGAAGAAGCTGAATTCCTCAATAGAACAATAACATGTTCTGAAATTGAGCCAGTAATTAGTAGCCTACCAACCAAAAAAGCCCAGGACTAGATAGATTCACAGCTGAATTCTACCAGACATACAAAGAGGATATGGTACCATTAGCTCTGAAACTATTCCAAACAACTGAAAAGGAGGGACTTTTCCCTAACTCATTTTATGAGGCCAGCATCATCCTGATACCAAAACCTGGCAGAGACACAGCAAAAAAAGAAAATTTCAGGCCAGTATCCCTGATAAACATTGATGTGAAAATCCTCAATAAAATACCACAAACCAAATCTAGCAGCACATCAAAAAATTTATCTCCCACAATCAAATCAGCTTCATCTCTGGGATGCAAGGCTGGTTCAATATATGCAAATCAATAAACATAATCCATCACCATAAACAGAACCAATGACAAAAACCACATGATTATCTCAATAGATGCAGAAAAGGCCTTTCATAAAATTCAACATCCCTTCATGTTAAAAACTCTCAATAAACTAGGTATTGATGGAACATATCTCAAAATAATAAGAGCTATTTATGACAAATCCACAGTCAATATCATATCAAATGGGCAAAAGCTGGAAGCGTTCCCTTTGAAAACCAGTACAAGACAAGGAGGCCGTCTATCAGCACTCCCATTCAACATAGTATTGGAAGTTCTGGCCAGGGCAATCAGGCAAGAGAAAGAAATAAAGCATATTCAAATAGGAAGAAAGGAAGTCAAATTGTCTCTGTTTGCAGATGACATGATTTTATATTTATAAAACCCCATTGTCTCAGCCCCAAAACTCCTTAAGCTGATCAGCAACTTCAGCAAAGTCTCAGGATACAAAATCAATGTGCAAAAATCATAAGCATTCCTTTACACCAACAATAGGCAAGCAGGGAGCCAAATCCTGAATGAACTCCCATTCATAATCGCTACAAATAGAATAAAATACCTAGGAATACAGCTAACAAGGGATGTGAAGGACCTCTTCAAGGAGAACTACAAACCACTGTTCAAGGAAATAAGAGACAACACAAACAAATGGAAAACATTCCACCCTCAGAGGTAGGAAGAATCAATATTGTGAAAATGGCCATACTGCCCAAAGTAATTATAGAGTCAATGCTATTCCCATCAAATTACCATTGACATTTTTCACAGAATTAGAGAAAACAATTTAAAATTATTTTTGGAATCAAAGAAGACCCTGTATAGCCAAGACAATCCTAAGCAAAAATAACAAAGCTGGAGGCATCAGGCTACCTGACTTTAAACTATACTACAAGGCTACAGTAACCAAAACAGCATGGCACTGGTACCAAAACAGACATGTAGACCAATGGAGAAGAACAGAGACCTCAGAAGTAACACCACACATTTACAATCATCTGGTCTTTGTCAAACTTGACAAAAACAAGCCAAATGGAAATGATCTCCTCTTTAGTAAATGGTGCTGGGAAAACTGGCTAACCATATGCAGAAAACTGAAACTGGACCCCTTCCTTACACTTTATACAAAAATTAACTCAAAATGGATTAACAACTTAAATGTAAAACCCAAAACCATAAAAAACCTGGAAGAAAACCTAGGCAATACCATTCAGGACACAGGCATGGGCAAAGACTTCATGACTAAAACACCAGAAGAATAGAAACAAAAGCCAAAATTGAAAACTGGAATCTAATTAAACTAAAGAGCTAATGCACAGCAAAAAACAAACAAACAAACAAAAAAACAAAAAACTATCATCCAAGTGAACAGGCAACCTACAGAATGGGAGAAAATTTTTGCAATCTACTCATCTGACAAAGGTCTAATAACCAGGATTTATAAGAAACTCAAACATATTTACAAGAAAAAAAAACCCATCAAAAAGTGGGCAAAGGATATGAATAGACACTTCTCAAAAGAAGACATGTATGTGGCCAACAAACATATGAAAAAAAGCTCAACATCACTGATCATCAGAGAAATGCAAATCAAAACTACAATGAGATACCATCTCATGCCAGTCAGAATGACCATTATTAAAAAGTCAGGAAACAATAGATGCTGGCAAGACTATAGAGAAATAGGAATGCTTTTACACTGTTGGTGGGAATGTAAATTAGGTCAGCCATTGTGGAATACAATATGGACCATTCCTCAAGGATCTAGAACCAGAAATACCATTTGACCCAGCAATCCCATTACTGGGTATATACCCAAAGAAATAGAAATCATTCTACTATAAAGACACATCACACATATGTTTTTTGCGCACTACTTACAATAGCAAAGACCAACCCGAATGCTCATTAATGATAATAAAGAAAATTTGGTAGATATTCACCATGGAATACTCTGCAGCCATAAAAAGGAATGAGATCATGTCTTCTGCGGCGACATGGATGAAGCTGGAAGCCATCATCCTCAGCAAATTAACACAGGAACAGAAAACCAAACACTGCATGTTCTCACTCATAAGTGGGAGTTGAACAATGAGAATGCATGGACACAGAGAGGGCAACGACACACACCAGGGCCTGTTGGGGGGTAGGGGGTGATAGGAGGGAACTTAGTGGACGAGTCAATAGCTGCAAAAAACCACGATGGCATGTGTATATCTATGTAACAAACCTGCACGTTCTGTACATGTATCCCATTTTTTTCTTTTTAGAAGAAATAAAATAGAAAATCAATTAAGCCTTCAAAATACCAGTATTTAAATATTAAATATCCCATAAAAACATAACAGATTTTGATTACAAAAACAACTCAATACTTACTCTAGACATGATTTATTGAAAAATAATCAGAGACAAATTAAAGACACTGAACTTGTCACTATTTTCATCTTGATATATGAAAAGAACCATGCAGTAACCCTACATAATAAAACTGAGCTGTAACTTTGTAGAAAAGAAAAACCCAATGAAAAAGTAAAGAGGACAATAAGCACATTTTATTTCTGACCTGATTTATTTCAAAGAAATGAAACAATTAAAAAGGTAAATCACAAAATAAATATCTCATGTTTAATATTTTTACATTTATGCAGTTGTATATTTTAATTGAAAACAAACGTGAAGACTCTAATATTGTCATATTTATTTTGGTTCCTAGTGAAAAGACAGGCTATTAGCCTTACTTAGAAAAAGAGACGTTATAGAATCATTTTCTTGAACCAAGATGTCAAAGTGATTTGACGAAAGATAAATGTTTTTCATTACATTTTAATTACCACATTGAATTTGAATGGAAAGATATTCATAAACGCTTGTATCACTTTTTATTTTTAACTATGCAGGAATGAGAAGTCACTAAGGTTGACTTGTAAATAACTATAGAACCATATCATACAAGGAATAATTTGAAGAAAGGCAAGAGTCAAGTTGTTATCAGTTAAAATATATTTAGGTTTTCTATCATCTACAGTTATACTAGAATTAAGAGTCATGACCACTTATAGGTATTATGGAAGGAAAATAGCCTATCATTGTACTTGCCATGTGCTTTGCATATATTGAAGGTGTCATATTTATAATCATAGAGGGGTCTGATATTCCACATACTGAAATTTAGTATCAAAGTAAATCTAGAGATTATTTCAGATAGATAACTTTACATTTACTACTCTTCTTCCAGTATTCTTAAGACAAGAATGGTTATATGTGGCTGGTCTTCTGCATAAATGATTTCTTTCTCCCCCAGGATTCTCCACTAATTGAGGAACGGAAGAGAATTCTAAGCAGAATTCTAACAATTTTGCTATCAAGGCACACGTTCTTCTCAAGTAAAGTTTCATAACCTTCACAACATTAACATTTAGGGCTTGATAATTTTTGTTTTGAGGGACTGTCCTGTCCATCACAGAATGTTTAGCAGCATTTCTAACCTCTACCTACTAGCTGTACCTTCCCCCAAGTTATGACAATCTAGAATGTCTCCAGACTTTTTCTAATGTAGATAATTGTACTCCCCTCCCCTTGAGAATCATTGCACTAAAGTTAAAAAAAGAAAAGAGAGAGAGAGAGAGAGAGAGAGACATTATGGATTAGGAAATGTTTCTGCTTTCCCAATGATCAACAAAATACAAGTCACTGAGGGTTTCGTAGTTGATTGCTAAAGAGTTCCTTAAAATCAAATTCCGAGTATCAGTTGGAAGAAAATTTTTTGCACAGAGAAATAACATCTATACTTTCCTTTTGTAAGTTTTTTGCTATGAGGACTAGTATTAAGATAGGAAGAATTTGCTGAGAGTGGATAGTTGTGATAATTCAATGAATAAGCCTTGGGAAACTGAATTTGGATTGGGCCATGACTTGTCCTGAATCACATGGAAAGGGGCTTATGATTTAGAGACAATAAAGTCCTTTAATGATTTTCTTTGCTAACAGGCTGGTTTACTCCTATATCCTTGCTAGTTACTAAGATATTCCCCAGAGTAATCCAGGACACTTTGTTGGTAGCATATGTGACTCTCATCATGCTATTAGGATTGCCAGGACCTTTCCTCCTTCTTTCTTACTGTTACAAGATTCTTGCTAGTTACTAAGATATTCCCCCAGAGTAATGCAGGACACTGTTGGTAGCATGTCACTCTCATCATGCTACTAGGACTGACAGGACCTTTCTTCCCTCTTCTTTGCTGTTTCTATATCAGTGTTGGATAACACTAATCAATAATGGCACTCTTTCCCCCTGATCCCTTCACTGCCTCAGAATCCTCACCAGAGCTCTCTGAGAAATGTATGTCTTAGTAATTTCATGTCCAAAAGATAAGAATGGGTGGCAAACATTTGCATTGTTCTTTAAAAATAGAAAATGTTCAAAATTATTTTTTATTTGAGTTTCCATACAGCTTTTTGATATATAAACAGAAAATCTTACATTAGTTATGAGTGCAGTTAAGGGAGGTTGTTCAAGTTCTTGCGACTAGGAAGTTACAAAGACAGCCTACAGTATCTTTACTCTGGAAAAGAACTTCTCTACTTCCACCCCCAGAAAAAGATCCAATTTAAGGCAGACTAAAACTGTGACATATTCTGTATTTTTTATTTATGATATTAACTATATCTTAGATATTTTACTAATATGTTTAATGATTGGATGTTTGTCTTGAAACAGCCCTAAGGGCAAGGTTCTTGTCCAAATAAAAAATATTTATAAATTTTGCCATATAACAAAGACATTTAAGAGGATTTCAGTGAATCGCAAATACATTCTCTTTCTGTTTTAACCAAATCAGACATTTTTATATAGTAGGAATCTCAACTTGAAACCAAGCAGTCATTAGCTTAGGTCATCATTGTCTTGTGCTTAAGAAACTGATAATGTCAGAGCTCTAGGATGGGTATGACTGCCTGGGGTCTAATTGGATTAAGGTCAAAGGAAAGAAAACAAACAACCACCAAATCTGGCTTAGAACAGTGTCTGAGAGACAGAAGGGAGACAGGATTCTGAGAATAACATGGTATGTCCCTCAAGTTATTGTAACATCTGGCACAGCCTCCACAGGTTTATGTCTGAATCATTCAGAGACACTGACTATAAGCAAAAACTAAAAGAGCTAATTGATTTAAAAATGCACATTATGACGATAATGAAAACAAGCCCAATAATCAAAGAAAATCTTGTGAGATGCTGAGAGCCTAAGCAGCTCTGCCTGTGAACTTAGGCAACAGAGTTACCTTCCCCAAGGAAGGGGTGAGGGGTTTTCTCCTATTCTCCATGCTTTGGCCCACATAGAGGGCTACAGAACATGGTGGTGACTCATTAGACATGCACAACTGTGACTTGGCACAGACCAGTTTGTGCCTGCAGTGCTGGTAGTCAGTGACTTGGCAGGAGCGGTGACAGAAGCCTCTGTACAGATAGGAGTTGCAGAGCTGCTTGAAGGACAACACAATTCAGGAGCCCCAACACCACAGAAGGAAAATAACTCATGTCACAGGGCAGCCAGAAGAATGTGTTCATTTCTATGTGCAACATGACCGAAAGACCACTTTTCTTCTAATGTGGATTCGGAAACCTAGACTGGGCATTACTGACTTGGTTTAATTTTTCCTTATATTACCATAACATCCTGAGAAAACATATGCAACTATTTAACACCTTTGATTGAGTTGACCAAAGAAGCCTAGTGAAAATCACATTAAAAGAGAATGGTGCTAGTGGTTTTATTTAACTCATTGATCCCCAGTCCAAATGTTCACTCTAGTTATATATCTTTTCTTAAGCTCCAGATTAAAGAGAAATAGTATATCTCAGTTGCTTTTCATTTACTAATTCATATTATTAATTGAAAACCTATTATCTGCCCTTCCTAGGTATTGAGAATAGAGTGGTAATGAGAGAAATGGTGCTTGTTCTCATAAGAGGCACATCCTTGTGGGAACCAAGTAAATAAGTAAATGAATTATATAATTTCAGGTAAGGGCAAGCACAAAGCAAAAATAAAATCAGGTGACATATGAGTGACTGTGAGGTGGGGGTCTGCTTTACATTGGCTTTGGGTTGGGGGCGTATTTCAATTGGACCTAAATAATGAGACAGAGCCAGACAAAAAAACTCTGGGGGAGACATTCTGGGAAAAGAGGTGTCCAGTGCAACGGTTGAATGAGGGGAAAAATTTGGCATGTTCAAGGAAGAAAAGAGAAGTCAGCATGACTAGAACTTAGTGAGACAGAGAAAGGAAGAGGTGAGGTTGAAGAGAGTCAGAGACAAATTCTATTTGGCTTTAGAGTCCGTGATAAAAACATAGATCTCATTCTAAGTGTGATGAGAAAGGCATGAAAGTATGAAGCAGGGGAATGTTTGATGTTATTAGCTGTGTGGAGGCTAGTTTTAGGGAGTCTGTGTAGTACTTCAGTTAAAAATTAAAAAGAAAACAGAACTTTCTCTCTAGAGTCCAACACTTAGGACTGCAAAATTTACACTATTTTTTCTTCTTATGAAGATGATTACATTTGTTCATTAATGTCAAGAGTTTAATGACAATATTACTGACTTAACAGTAATATGTGGAAAAGAAAATCACTGTTAAGACTATAATGTCTGATTTTAATATTAGTGTCATTTATAACAAAGTTATGATGCTACACTGTATAAAATTCAGTCATAACCAGAGTATTTGTAAAAATTTTTAAAGTAATTATTGTGCCGTTTTTAAGGTCAATAAGACAATTGCCTTTTTGAATTGAAGATACACATCAAATCAGCCATTTATCATTTTATTAACAATTATTAACAGGAGAAAGCCAATTTTGCCTTCAGTAAATACCTATTTTTAATAAATTCAAGTGAAGACAATTAAGGTTTCAATTGGTGTGTCTTTATAAATAATTAGGTTCCCTATATTTTAGACACTTGAACAACTTAATTCATCAATTACTGAATACTCAAATCTATTATTGCAACATGAAGTAAATAGACCATTAGTTGATGGGTTTGAAAAATCCTAGTTTTACTTTTTTTTTTTTTTAACAAATGTAGACACTTGGATGACCATTTGTAATATAGAGAATATTTCAGTTTCATTCTCTATCCTAGTAGAAACAAGCATAGTTCCTTGTTCATAGCTGTAGTTTGAGAAATCTGTGGTTATTATTCTAAGCAAATCATTAGATGTTAATTTTCTTTTCTATAGACAGAATAAAGACATAAATTTTACTCTTTAGGTGATAGCACAATTTCTGGAGAGCCATTTTTATTAGAGTAAAATTCTAGAATTTAAAAAAAATTGTTAAAGGGCTAGTATTGGCTGGGTGCAGTGGCTCTTACCTGTAATCCCAGCACTTTGGGAGGCCGAGGTGGGTGGATCACGAGGTCAGGAGATCGAGACCATCCTGGCTAACATGGTGAAACCCCGTCTCTACTAAAAAATACAAAAAATTAGCCAGGCGTGGTGGCGGGCACCTGTAGTCCCAGCTACTTGGGAGGCTGAGGCAGGAGAATGGCATGAACCCAGGAGGCAGAGCTTGCAGTGAGCCAAAATCACACCACTGCACTCCAGCCTGGTCGACAGAGTGAGACTCTGTCTCCAAAAAAAAGTTTTTTTTAAAAAGGTTAGTATGGCTTCTTACTCTTTCAAATATAGAAAAACAATTCCATAAACTTTGCTAATATTTCCTTGAATTGTTTTTATATTTGAATAATAGTCTTTTGAGATATCCTGAGGCCAAAAAAGTATTATGAAAATAAAATGAATGTTATACACTATAACGATTTTACAAAATATTTTAAAGTAAAATCATATGATCCAGAAGCCATTTAAGTCAACTTCCTGCCTTCAAGTACAATAAACTATTTTAAAAATTGAACTTGAGTGTTTGTCATATCAAAGTATTATTTCATGATATATAAGCCACAAATAGAGAAATATCTGAGCTAGGATAAAAAGATGTATTTTGATGTCTAGTATCTCAAACAATACAAAGAATCACACATTATTATACCCATTTTATAGATAAGAAAAATAAGCCTCAAAAGAACTGAAACACAGATTGAGAAGCTCAGGTTGATTTAGTCCTAAAACTTTTATGATGTTTCCTTTCCCTGTGTTACTTGCATAGTTATTTATTAAAATAAATTCTCATCTATATTTAAAGAACATTGACATTTTGTTTCATATTTTAAATGTTTCATTGTAAAAGTTATGCACTAAAGTTACACATCACATAGGCTAGATACATGGGAAATGTACTACTTAATTAGCTGGTATACTTTTTCGATAGGCCTCTGCCTATAGAATTTAAGTTGCATAAAACTGTGATATTCAGACATTATTAATGTTCCTTTAGAAATAGTAAAATAAAAAACCAATAATTTTACTGCAGCTTGCTATTGAACTTGTATCAGACATTTAAAAAATGAATCAGTCCATTCAAGCACATATCATGTTAATTTTATAATTGAGTTTTAAGTAGGTCATCCAAAACGATATAGAAAAAATATATGCATATCCAAACTAGGGGAAACAATGAGGATCCAGAACACCATCATTCAATTCACATTTAGATCTTTTCAAATCACATTTAATGTGTTTTTTCAGGCAAATTCCCTTCATGAATCCTCTGCTCCAGTGAAATTATATGCTTTGAACTCGTCTTGTGTCTGCCTCTTTGTTTCTACCTTGCTGAACAGATGTCTCTCGTCTCTCCTTTGCCCAACTAAATCCTGTCTGCCCTTTAGATACGAATAAGTAATTACTGCCCTAACTATGATGTATTTTGTCATAAGCTCTTTCTCCTCTATAATCCAATAGCATTTAAAATTATGTCAATTCTTATATGCATTTTGAATATTTAGTGTATTTTAATGTTACAAAATGAAAGTTTGCATAAATATAATTTTTATAGATATATAACCTATACTTTTCCATATTTTCTTTCTATTTCAACTACAACCACAATCACTAAATATTTCTCTAAATATACAAGTTTCTAAGTATCTGTCTTATTTATTCTTTATATTCCTACATATTTTCTTAATTTCACTGAATATAAGAATTTTTGTTTGTTTTCTTCACAAATGTCTCCCCAGTGACTAAACAGTGTCAGGCACATATCTTGGGCTCATGTAATATTTGTTGTATCTCTATTCGGAGACTCTGTTAGGCCAAAAGGCAGAAGATAAAATCTTAGTCAATTCTAAGTAAACCCAGCAATTTGAAGCTTAACCCTCACTAATTCAGAATTCGCAGCAATTCTCTCATTCTTTTCCCCCAATTTGTTGGGCCTCATGTAGAGAAAATGGTGTTGGAAGAGGTCATCTATTTGTAATTACTAATCATTGTCCTCTTATTGATCACTCTCAATGGCATCTGCCCAGACGTTCAGTCTGTCTCCATGATCCTTTGAGATGATCTCCAGGGTTGGTCTGAGCACTCTGTACCTACTCATCTTTACTCATGGTATCTTTAAGTTTCCCAGCCTTCTCACAGTCACTCAAGTGCCTACTTCTGGGGCTTATGAAGATTCAGCCACATGACCCTTATCTCATAGGTGACAGTACCTAAGAATTACATATACTTCCTCTACTGTTCACTTCCTATATTTTCTAATGTTTCTGCCTCTCCAGCTTGTAGAATCATCTCTCCGCCTCTACCAACTTTCACTTATAGTTTAGGAACCAGTCTGTAGGAAGAACCAAAACGAATAGCTTCTATATCAGTGTTCTTCATCACACCATTAAGTAGGCTCCCCTACACCCTGATGCCATTTGTACCCATAACTTGAACTGGTAGGGACGGAAAATGAAACACTTGCATGGATGTGAAGGTCTGCTGAGTCAATTGACACTTTTTCCTTAACTGTTTTATCCTAATAGGTGAATTACCATAGGCCCAATGTCATTAACTCAAGAGAGAGGATGTCACTGTTTTTTATTAAAAGTTATAGATAGAATATAATAATCCATCTTAATCTAATGGTTGTAAAGAAAAACAGGCAAACAGAGAAACAAATAAACAAAAAAAAAGCAGAATTGAGAATATGGCCTGGTTAGCATCCTACAAACTTACCAAAGAAGATACTGAGTAAATCACACACCTTTAACCTTAGATTCAACCACTGAAACACAACTAAGTCTCCTTCATTCCCACCATGCCTGAGATCTGGTGCCCTTGTGCTAAACCCAGAGAAAACTTATACTACTTAATTTTAAAATTTATCATGCTCAGCATGTTCTAATTCTCTAATCCCTTTTTAAGGAAACTAGTTTCCTATTACAATAGGAACACAATGAAAAATGCTTCCTATTTATTGGATTCTTAGTGTATGTCAGAGTTTTTTTTTTTAAAGTTCTAAGTGCTTTAAAAAGAGCAGTTTTTTGTGCTCACAGCAACTTTATCAGGCCATCCTTATCATTCCCATTTTACACATGATAGATCCAGGTATTGAACAAATGAGTGAGTGGTTCAATGTTTTGCCCAGGATCATAGAGCTAGTACGTGGAAGACAAAGCCTCCTGACACCTAAATCTATACCTCTAACTTTTAAGCCAAACAGCTTCCAACAAAAGATTCTTATCCAGTGACTTTTTGAGGTTCTTCTGCTCCATGAACCATTATGTCCCATGCAGTTCCATCATATTTACTGGGCCCTGATTTTAAGGAAACATCTTGTGAAACAACTCAAAAGGTCCCTGACTATTTAATGACCACAGTGCATCCAGTATTTAAGTACCAATCAGAATTAAAGTGGATACAATTACACCTTCTCAGACAAGGTATTTCTCCAGAGACACTCTCAATAGTACCTCAGAAAATTTCACTAGCTCCTATTCTGCAGTGGTTTCTTCCTATGGTGGCTTCATACTCTGCCAACTTAACCAAGTTGGAACTGTTTCCCAGAATCCCTTTTTCCCATAGTTCTTGGGTAGGATTGGCCACATTAGATTATTCCATGAGTTTTTGGAAGGAAAACGTAAAGCCACATTTATTCTCGGAAGATTAATGTAGGGTCAGAACACGTTGCAATTCGTATACATTTTCTTGGACCTCATAGCCTGCCTTGCTGGCCTGAAGCAGCAGCAGATCAGCAGCTCTTTCAACTCTTGTCTGTTTTTCAGCTTCCCTGACTCCTAGGACATTGTGTATTTAACAACAAAATGAAGGGTGCCTGCTTCTCCTGCAAGTCAATCTCATCACTAAAATGAGTGGCCAACAGAGATTCCCGCTCATACAGGCTCTGCTTAATTCTGACTCTCCCCTGCTTCACGTCTATCTTTTCTTTCGAAGTGACTGCCCTGTGGACTTCAGGTCAGGCTCCAGAAGCAGAAATAACAGCAACATATAAAGTGCATTACAGATTGCATCTAGGGGTTCTGCTTTCAAATCCTCCTCCTCCTCTTCTTTGACAATTTCCCCATATGCCTGCTAGCCCTCTCTTTGTGTGTATAGAAATAATTGAAGGAGAATCTTTAGTAAATTGCTTGTACCTAATAAGCACTTGTTTTATTAAACCTGCCTAAAACACCCGAAAACGGTGTACACATCAATGTTCTATACAGTCATAAAAGTTTTCGTAAATGTGGTCAACAAAGAGTAGAAGGGTGAAGGGGCATTTGAGTGGACTTTTCATGTATAAGCAAAATATGGCTATTAGAGAGAATCCTCCAGAAAGCATCCATGCTCAGTAGGGAGGCAGTCTGGGATCCATTCACAATGGTATCAGTGTTGCAGATGAGTATTTCTCAAAATTTTGACATCCATGGGACATTTAATGAGTGCTAGGCATTCACATAAAACACAAACTTTAGGAGCATAAATCTTTATATGTTAAGTAATAAAGCATAATTAAATCGATAGTAGTCCCTAGTAAAGGTAATAAAAAACTAGTTTCATAGGAATGATAGGTTAAAATTGTGCTCCATAATTCATCACAATTCCTATATTCAGCTTGATGGCAAATAACCATAGGTAAATACCTACACCTAGTGGGTTTGTTTCTTATATGTCTTCTACTAAGTTGGAAAGTCCTAATTCACAATGATTCAACCTAAACATCTGGTAGCTCTGTTCTGAGCATTATGAGTTTTTTTGTTTGTTTGTTTAAACTAAAAGTAACACAGTGATTTAGCGATTTCTTGTTGAAGAAAATAGAGACTATTTTGATAGCCACACTACAATGAGTGGAAATAGGGGCTGGAAATGATTTTTTTTGTTGTGTTGTATGTAATTTAAATGTGATTTTTAAACGTGTAATAAAGTTTCTGAAGAACAAATAAAATGATTATGTGTGAGACAAACCTCAATCACAAAACTATTTTCTTTGCTTTTCAGAAACTTTATTATACCTATTCAAAAAAATGGTGTTACCTGCAAAAGATAGTACAGTCTTAAAAAGAGTGTCTTAAAAATCAGTGTTATTAAAAATATTTAACAAGGCAAATTTTAATTATAATACTTGTACATATTTATGGGTTATGAGAGCATTTTTATCTTTACATTGTGTAATAATCAAATCAGGGTCTTTAACTGATATGGTTTGGTGGTGTCCCCACTCAAATCTCATCTTGAATTGTAGCTCCCACGATTTCTACATGTTGTGGGAAGTAATTGAATCATGGGGATGGGACTTTCCCATGTTATTCTTGTGATGGTGAATAAGTCTCACAAGATCTGATAGTTTTATAAAGGGGAGATTCCCTGCACCAGCTCTCTTCTCTTGTCTGCCACCATGTGAGATGTGCCTTTCCCCTTCTGCCATGATTGTGAGGCCTCCCCAGCCATGTGGAACTGTGAGTCCATTAAACCTCTTTCTTCTGTAAATTGCCCAGTCTCAGGTATGTCTTTATCAGCAGCATGAAAACAGACTAATACAGTAAATTGGTACCAGTAGAGTGGGGCTCTGCTGAAAAGATACCCGAAAATGTGCAACTGACTTTGGAACTGGGTAATAGGCAGAGGTTGGAACAGTTTGCAGGGCTCAGAAGAAGACAGGAAAATGTGGGAGTTTGGAACTCCCTGGAGACTTGCTGAATGGCTTTGACCAATATGCTGATAATGATTTGGACAATGAAATTCAAGCTGAAGTGGTCTCAAAGATGAGGAACTTGTTGGGAACTGAAGCAAAGCTGACTCTTGTTATGTTTTAGCAAAGAGACTGGTGGCATTTTGTCACTGCCCTAAAGATTTGAGAACTTTGAACTAGAAAGATATGATTTAGGGTATCTGGCGGAAGAAATTTCCAATCAGTAAAGCAAGCAAGAGGTGACTTGGATGCTGTTAAAGGCATTCACTTTTAAAAGGGAAATAGAACGTAAAATAAAAGTTTGGAGAATTTGCACCTGACAATGCAATAGAAAAGAAAATCCCATTTTCTAAGGAAAAATTCAAGCCAGCTGCAGAAATTTGCATAAGTAACAAGAAGCCCAATGTTAATCCTCAAGACAATGGGGAATATGTCTCCAGGGCATGTCAGAGACCTTTGTCACAGCCCCTCCCATAACAGATTCAGAGGCCTAGGAGGAAAAAATGGTTTTGTGGGCTGGTACCAGAGTCCTTCTGCTGTGTGCAGTTTAGGGATTTGGTGCTCTGCATCCCAGTCATAACTAAAAGGGGCCAAGGTACTACTCAGTCCATGGCTTCAGAGGGTGCAAGCCCAAAACCTTGGCAGCTTCCACATGGTGTTGAGCCTGTGGCTGCACAGAAGTCAAGAATTAAGGTTTGGGAACCTCTACCTAGATTTCAAAGGATGCATGGAAACTCTTGGATGAGCAGGCAGAAGTTTGCTGCAGGGGCAGGGCCCTCATGGAGAACCTCTGCTAGGGCAGTGTGAAAGGGAAATATGGAATGTGAGCCCCCACACACAGTCCCTACTGGGGCACTGCCTAGTGGAGCTGTGAGAAGAAGGTCATTGTCCTACAGAACCAGAGTGGTAGATCGATACACAGCTTACACTGTGCATCTGGAAAAGCACAGACACTCAATCCCAGCCTGTGAAAGCAGCCGGGAAGGGGTCTATAACCTGCAAAGCCACAGTGCATTAGCATGACCTGGATGTGAGACATGGAGTCCAAGGGGATCATTTTGGAGCTTTAAGATTTGACTGCCCCATTGGATTTTTGGACTTGTAAGGGGCCTGTAGCCCCTCTGTTTTGGACAATTTATCCCATTTGGAAAGCCTGTATTTACCCAATGCCTCTATCCCCATTGTATCTAGGAAGTAATTAACTTGCTTTTGATTTTACAGGCTCATAGGTGGAAAGGACATGCCTTGTCTCAGATGAGACTTTAGACTGTGGACTTTTGAGTTAATGATGAAATGAGTTAAGACTTTTGGGGACTGTTGGGAAGACATGATTGGCTTTGAAATGTGAGGACATGAGATTTGAGAGGGGCCAGGGACAGAATAACATGGTTTGGCTGTGTCCCTACTGAAAACTCATCTTGAACTGTAACTCCCACAATTTTCATGTGTTGTGGGAGGGACCTGAAGGGAGGTAATTGAGTCATGGGGGTGAGTCTTTTCTGTGCCTTTCTCATTATAGTGAATAAGTCTCATGAAATCTGATGGTTTTATTAAGGGGAATTTCCCTGCACAAGCTCTCTTCTCTTGTCTGCCACCACATGAGACATGCTTTTCACTTTTCTCTATGATTGTGAGGCCTCCCCATTAAACCTCTTTCTTTTGTAGATTGCCTAGTCTTGGGTACGTCTTTATCAGCAGTGTGAAAATGGACTAATACATTAACACTTCCATTATCACAGATATTCATTCTTCATGATGAGAACAATAAAATCCCCTCCTCTAGCTGTTTTGAAATATACCATATAAAATTGTTAACTATATCACTCTTCTGTACAATAGCACCCCAGAACTTATTCCTCCTAATTTATGACCCTGTGCCTATAAACAACCTGTTCTAACCCCTTTTCCTCCTCCCTTCCCCAGCCTCTGGTAACCACTATTCTACTGACTACTTCTGTGAGATCAGCTTTTTAAGATTCCACTGAGTGATATCTTGTGGTAGTTGCCTTTCTGTGCCTGGCTTACTTCACTTAACATGATGTCCTCCTGGTTCATCCATGTTGCTGCAAACGATAGAATTTCATTCTTTTTTATGGCTACATGGTACTTCATTGTGTATACATTCCACATTTTCTTTCTCCACTCATCCATTGATGGACACTTTGGTTGATTCCATATCTTGACCATTGCAAACACTGCTGCAATCAACATGGAAGTACACATATCTTTTTGACATACAAAAGAAATACTGATTTCTTTTTTTTTTTTTTTGCTGTATTCCCAGTAGTAGGAGTGCTGGATCATATGGTAGTTTTATATTTAATCTTCCGAGGAACCTCCACGCTGTTTTCCCTAGTGCCTGTGCTAATTCCCACCAACAATATATGAGAGTTTCTTTTTCTCTATATTCTTACTAGTATTTGTTATCTTTTGACTTTTAGATAATAGTAACAAGACAAAGTTTAATAATTTTGCTCTGAAAAATTAAGTTCAGGCTCTTTATGATCCCAAATACACTGTGAGATCCACTAGTATCTCAGTTGTATAGTATGTCAGTTGAAATCATAGTTGTATATTCGTTATTTTTTTAATCAATTTTTTCCCCAGAAATTATATGAGAATCTTTTCCCTTCAAAGTCACTAAACTTTAGTCACTGCGTATCTCTTCACTGAAAAGACATAGTGTCTATGAGTTGGTAATTTCACCATTTTAACTTTCATCCCCACTGAACAAATATGATAGGTATATTCATTATTTTTTAAAATCAGTTTTTCCCCAGAAATTATATGAGAATCTTTTCCCTTCAAAGTCACTAAACTTTAGTCACTACATATCCCTTCACTAAAAATACATAGTATCTATGAGTTGGTAATTTCACCATTTAAAGCTTTCATCCCTACTGAACAAATAGTCACAGATATATTATTTGCCATCATTTCTGAGAAAATAAGGTACTGTATAGAGTTGCATTCAAATATAAATACATTTTAAAAAAGAATACCAGGCTTAATGAGTTAAATGAAGAGTACTCCACAAGTACCCATCCAGTACTCTGATTTCATGAGCCTTGCCCAGTCTATGCCACAAGTCATAAATCTATTGATAACTTTAAATGACAAAATTTTCTTGTATCCTGTTTTCCAGTGTTATAGACAGCAATAAATGTTTAACACTTCTCCATCACATATGTGCATACATGGAAAATTGAGTCATCTGCCTAATGGTAATTTAATTCAACTATATAAAATGGAACATTTATAATCTCATTTTAAATTGAAACTATTTTTTCAAATTAAATGCTATTAATATTATGAAATATCCAGCAGTGATACCAGATAGACAATTTTTGCTAATAGCCAGATTCTTGCTTTTTTTTCTAAGAATATTGGTCCTGAAGTACTGGTTTAATTAGCTTCTCAGCAATCTGGGACATGATATCTGTTCATGCCATGAATAAATTTCTAAAATAAGTAATTACTCTTTTTAAATTTTGTTTAAATTTTGCTATTCTCCTACCCCAATAGAGCAGTGATATTATTAAGAGATAAAAATGAATCTTTTTAATGATAAACCTCATTTTGCATACATACTAGAAAAACTCAGATGATTTACCAGAAGTCACATATAGAAAATGACAGAATTTTAATGACTTCTCAAAGCTCACATAAATTGTATTTGACAGTAGGATGAGTAACTATTGGCTTCCAGCCTAAATAGCTAATAATTTAGATATTCATTCATTTTTCCTTCTTCCTTTTCAATTACATGTGTGAAATTTTAACCCATGTAGTCACTTGTACCAGTGTACCAGTGGAGAAAGTTCCCCTTGAGTCTCTCACATTTCTGCACGCACTCTGAATAAAAGCATTCAGTTTTTGTTCTGAACTATGGACTATTGACTATTGACTTTGTTAGGGCTGCTATAACAAAATACCATAGACTGATAATAAATGTATTGCTCATAGTACTGGATACTGAGAGGTTTAAAATCATGGCACCAAGAGATTTTGTGTCTGATGATGGCCCCATTCCTCATATATGGTGCCTTCTTACTCTATCTTCAACATGAACAAGCTCCCTTGAGCTTCTTTTAGAAGGTCACTAATCCCATTCATCAGGGTTTCACTGTCATGAACTAATCAACTCCTAAAGTTCTCATGTCTTAATATTATTGCATTGAGATTAAATTTTAACATACTAATTTGGAAATGGGCAGAAATAGTCAAACCATAATAATTACTTTTTTATGGATGTTTATAGAAAACCTCAATTCTAGCTGACAGTCAGCTGACTTGTTTCTTCTTAACATCACATTTTCTTCCGGGGATGAAATCTTAAGCATGGCTTCCACATTCACATGTCTGATGCCTAACTAGTTGGATGGAACATCTGGGACTGGCCGTGTATTGTTTCCATGGAGCCCTTTCACATATCTAGCCTGAATTTCTTCATAGCATGGGCATCCCAAGATAGACTTAAGTGATCTCAACTTAGTCAGGCTTCTTACTTGGTATCTGTTTTACTATGCTTCCCACTTCAGGCTAACATTCCAGGAAGCCAGGGGGACTCTGGAAGGCTCTAAGGACTTAACCTTGGAACTCTCCAAACCTTGGAAGTTTACAGCCTTCTATTTGTCAAACAAGTGACTAGGGCTAGTCCAGATATATAAGAAAGAGAATTCCCACTTCTTAATGAGAGGAAAAGCAAATAATTTGCAGCAATTTTTATTCTACTGCCTCTATAAATACATTCCTGAAAGTTGAAAAACAATGACCTAAGGAACATTAAAATGTTTACAATTTAGTCTTGGTATTCCAAAGCTTTCTTACAAATATTATAACACTTACTCATTTATTTACATAAAACCTATTTTTGCTTTCTTCGATAAATTCTTAGACTTTAAGTCAATGAAATCTCTGATGCAATTTCTATAAATAAATTGATATTATAAAATCAGTATGCCATCTTTAACATTTTTCCAGAGGGAACGTAGAAAATAGCAGTTCTGATATTTCCCAAGCAAATTTTCCATGTCATAATTCATATTGGTACCAATAAAAACCAACCATAGTGAAAACACATGTGGGATAAAAAATGTAAAAAGTAATGAAAATGCAAAGTTAAAGTTATCTTACTAACTTTTGAACTTTAACAAAGCAAAATAAGGCCAAAGAAAAAAATGTCTTAAAACTTCATTCGTGTGGAAAGAAAAGAGGATAAAAACCAATAAGAACAACAACAAAAAAAAGAAATTTAATTAGAAATGCATTGCAATCAATTGGAAATATTTAAGAAAAATAGCAAATGGGAAATTCTTGTTGAAACAGCAAAGCTAACAAAGAGTTACATAATAATTAAAATATAAAAATGCCTTATATAAATAAAAATATAAATTTATTAATAGAGAAAAACATGGAAATAGCCTTAGACTGATACATGACCTGCAGAGTTTGGTCTCAATACCAGTTTTAATTTATTCTCTAAGTGAACATGAACTAACCAAAATCTCTTTGGTCCCCTTTTGTTGGTTAAATTGAATTAGGTACAGGATTATATAGACTAGGTTTTTCCCCTATTGAAGAATTTGCTTCATTTTGTTCTTTGTAATCTTTTTAATACAAAATATAGATATAAATGTACACTTGTACAGTGGGTGTGCATATGTATACACACACACATATACATTGGTACACATACAAACACATATTCACACATAAATACACATTTAACTTCCAATATAAAATATACAAAAGATAATCGATGGTATAAATATAAGGTAGTAAGTCAATTAGTTTATAATTATAAAATAATACATTCATATGATTAAAACTGCAAAGATTACAAATGATATATGCTGAAAAGTTAATCTTCCTGCTATACAAGACATCTGGTTCCAATTTCCAGAGTAGACTAAGGATAATAGTGTCTGACATATCCTCTCAGAAAGCTTCTGTTCATACCCATGAGCATGCACACATGCACACACACAAATACTCATATATACATATATTTTAAAGAAATGGAGATATTATGAACATATCAGCACAAATAGGTTTACTATACTGTTTTAATAATTTATTTTCATATTCCGTTTTATTATTCCACTATAAAAAAAGTATATATATATATGTATATACATACTACTTGCATGCATGTTTAAAACATAGGGATTAATTCTTAGAAAGGGAATTGATGAACGATGAGTGTATATTCAGAAATCTGAAGCTATTTCTAAATTGGCTTATGAAAAATCTGCCAATGATGCCCATTACTACTACTACCAGTGATGTGGGAAAGAGCATTTCCCCAAAACTCTGATAGCAGTTCAATTATCAAGTTTTTCAATCTTTATTTTTTATGCAAAAGGTAATATTTCATTGTTTCAACCATAGGTGAGGTTTTGTATATTTTCAAGTGTTTATTAGCTAAATATATTTACTTTTATGACATGCCAGTCTAATTCTTTTGACTAATTCTCTATTGTTATTTATTTTATGATTATTAGAGCATTTGAAATATTTTGTATGATAAATGTTATTTTTTTCAATTTTAAGTTCATTTTTTAATTTTTAAAGTATTTTTTAAATTTGTTGTTGAGTTTTAAAAATTATTACGAACACAATTTTATCTTCTTTTCTATTTGGGAATTCCAATTACATACCATGTGATGCATTCACTGTTTGATCCCTAATATTCAATATAGCTTTATATGTAAAAACTGTTACTTCTCATTCCTAAACTTAGAAGACAGATCCATAGAGTGACACTTTCTGAAGTCACAGAAATAAATGCAACACATAAAAATCCAAGAAACAAACAAAATTCTTCCTAAAGCTCTCAAGTGGTGACTGATAAAAATGTGTGAACATTTAGCATCTTGTCTAATTTAGCTAAGGCTCTAAATCTTGACCTTCAGTTCATTTCAGTCGGTCTAACAGAAGAGTTACTGAGTTTTAGAGTTTTCTCTAAAATTCATACTCTTACCTATGGTTTGGAAACAGCTTCAGATATTAGTCAATAAATTAATAAGTACATGACTGACTTGGTTATATGTCCAACAGTGTTCTAGGTATGCAAACTATGACAAGAAAAATATAAGACCTAGCTTTTTTTGCATTTAAGGCATATAAATACTAATTTGGGGGGACTAGTTACACTATATTAAACAAAAAGAGAATAATAACTGGATGTCTATGAGTCCAATTATACATTTTAAGTGAAGGGAGAAGTCTATAATGGCAAACATAGATGAGGAGAAAATCTTAGTGTCTGAGCAGTACATTAAACTATTTATATTTTCTAGACAGGATTAAACTAAAAACGCTTGACAGTAGAGGGAATTAAACAAAAGGAATTAGGAAGAAGAATATGGAGACTAATCTTACTAGATTGGAAATCTTGTCCTGAAGAGTAATGAGACTAAAGATGAGGTTTTAGGAAGAGTCCTAATTTGTACAGAAGGACGAAAACCATCCACAAGTTTTCCAGACATTACATGATAAGCTCAAAGTGCATTAGAAAGATTAGGTTTACCATTCAATGTGATAGAAATTGGATGAGGAGCTGGAAGCAGGGAAACCTGTTCTTGCAGTGACATCTGTGCCTTAAATGGCAAATATTTCATTTAAATCAATTAGTGGTAGAAATGGGGTAAGATAATGAATCCTAAAGTCATTTAGGAAGATTTATGAATGACTCAAAGGCTAAAGCCTGGCAGCATGGTTTAATCTGTATCTATTGAGAAAAATGTCAGTTGAGAAAATGATGCAATTTGAAGAAACAAAGATGTATTTGTTTTGCTTTAGTGTGGAAAAATATTGCTTTTTTTTCTCAATGAACTTCTAATTTTCACTTAAGTAATGATATTTTAAATTTGTTTTATGGTAGTTGGAATATGGCTTATACCATTGGGTAAAATTTGTATTTGATTAGAATAGTGGATAAACCCTCATCCACAGTTTTTCTAGGTTTAAAACAATTCTATTGCAAACGGTTTTAGATTATTAGGTTGGTATAAAAGTAATTGCAATTTTTGCCATTTCTTTTAATGAAATGTCAGAAATCAGCAGAATATATCTCTTAGATATTGGGACCAAGACAGTATTAGACAACTTCTTCACCTAAACTAAGTCAAAAGAATTTCTTAGTAAATTTTCACAAGACTTTCCTAAGGTTATAAAATCTTTTCAAAAGGTGTCTTTGTGACAAAAAAATATTTCTTCTAATATATTGACTGCCCTTAAAAAGGGAGAGAAATAAGAAATTTACTCAATATTTGCCTTCATACATCCTAAGTGTTGTTCATGATAACATTGGAAAAGTTATCTCGAAATACAGTATTTGTTTGAAAATCTTGCTTGCAAATGTTGTTTAATGGAAAAGTATACTTGTTTGCAAGTGTTCTTTCTGTCCACCTTAGAAGTTAGGACTATTCTCATAATACCTTTATTTTCTATCAGTCCAAAATGTCCTACGATCATTTATTACTAGTCATTTATTACTAGTTTCTTTTGTAAAGAAACAAAAGCAACAATCCTAACTTTAAGAACCTATTAAGGCCAGGCACAGTGGTTCACACTTGTAATCTCAGCACTTTGGGAGACCAAGGCGGGTGGATCAGTTCAAGTCAGGTGTTCGAGACCAGCCTAGCCAATATGGTGAAACCTTGTCTCTACTAAAAATACAAAACTTAGCCAGGCATGGTGGCATGTGCCTCTAATCCCAGCTACTCAGGAGGCTGAGGCAGGAGAATTACTTGAACCCAGGGGGTGGAGGTTGCAGTGAGCCAAGACAGCACCATTGCACTCCAACCTGGGCGACAGAACAAGACTCTGACAAAAAACAAACAAACAAACAAACAAAAACCCAACTATTAAATATTCAACCACTATATCTCCTTATTATAATGGAACTTCAAAGTCACCTTAACTACCCATTTTGATAAGTGTTTTCTTAATTGGTGGAAACATCTTTACAACCAAATAATATTGATAGAGCACTTTCTGCCTAAGAATTTTAAAAGAAAAAAAGTAAGTTTATATTTTCTGATCTCATATCTACACTTTGCTTCATGTATAACATTTTTCTTTGTCAACATTTTTAGGATGACTAATTGTCTTACTTTGCCAGGGAATGAAGGGATTTCTGAGACGTGGAACTTTCAGTTTTAAAGCCAAGTTGGTCACCCAGAGACTGGTATCCATTGTAATTATGAGTGTTCTTTCTGTATAAGCTTCTTAAGTGCTGTAGATCTGCATTAAATCTTTTTCCCCCAAAGTTAATTTATAACACAACAGGAAAAGTTAGGGGGACCATATAATTTATCATCCAAACCAGGACACTTTTGAGAGTTAAAGGAAACAATTAATAGTTTACCTGGGACAATAGGGGAACAACAGACCAGACAAACCCAGGATGTATGAGCACCTTTGCCAAGGTGACCCTTTGAAATTGTGCATTATTTCATATCAAGAGCTTTTATGGCTTCTTCATTTCAATAAAATAAAAGTTTTATATTGGACTACAAAACCTTCCATGACCAGACCCCCTTCACATCTCTAATTTTCTCTTCTACACTCTCAGCCTTGTTCTCTCTCACATTGGACTCCTTGTTCTTCCTTCAACATGCCAGGTACTTTCCTACAGTAAAATGTTTCCATTGGTTGTTCCTTTTGCCTTTCCATTGTCTCCTTTAATGTTTCTTCAGTTGTCACTTTTTCACTGAAATGTATACTGACCACCCTATATAAAATTGTTATTTCTTTCCTCTCTCCAGCATCTCTTACATTCCTTACTTTTTTTCCCATCATAATTGTCATCTGGTATCATACAATTCTATTTGCATGTTGGTTATAGAGTGTTGTGTGTCTCCTCTCTTTTAGAAAATAAACTGCCTAAGGGCAGAGAGCTTTCTCAGCACTGTTTTCTGATTTACCCCAAATGCCTTGACAAGGCCAGACACACAGTAGGTGAGTACTATATATTTACTGAATAAATATATATCTCTTTTTGACATTTTCCCATATATTCCAAGTTTAGGCACAGATTTCATCCTCTTATCATGCAATAGTGTAGTCCTCATTTAAACACATTTTTATTTGATAAACACAGCCACCAATCATACTCTGAAAATTTCCTTCTTCTGAGTGTTTGCCATCACTTTACTTGTATTAGTATAAGCCACTGAAGTTATTATTTTCTAAACTTTGTTCTATAAAACACCAGATCAGCAGGATGTTAATGGATATTTTACACTGACACAAACATCTATATACATCTATACACACAAGTTATGCATATAAATACCTTTCATATGCATTATGAATCTGCAAGTGAGGATTTTAGGATATCATGTTTCCTAAACTTATTTGGCCATGGATTTCTTTCCCAGGTCCTCTCGAGTTGAAATTTCCATGGTCATTCTTCAAAACATATTCATTATTGGTTTATATCTGTTGCTTGGTCCTATGTACGCACAGAGGAGGACATACTCAACTAAAAGCTGATGCATACAATTTGGATACATATGAAAATTTCTCAACATAGTAGGAAAGCGTTGTGTGTCCTTAGACACTGAGTGTTTAGAAGCGGAAGATAAAATGAGACCTCCAAGGTCAAATTAAGGATGCAGATTGCATCCTCAATCTCTCCTAACGTCTCCATTCATGCTTGTTTTGGGATGTGAATTGTTGTGAGATGGTGGGGGATGGGGGGAAAATTGGAAGAGGATGGAAAACTATTTACATATATAATATTAAGCAAAGATATTCATTCTAATTTAAGGGGAAGCAAGGCAAAACATCTTGAAAAGAAATCGCTAGTCTTTAAATAAATGTGTGTGTTGAACAGAACTATATTGAAACACTAGAGTTTCTATCAGTTTCCATGCTGATGACTGATTGGTTGGGATGGGCAACATCTTTGACATCTGCCTTAAATTAATATTAGAGGGCTTCAAAGAAAAGTCAACTCTATGTTCCTGCACTTTGAAACCAGGAAGTCAAGAGTTTGATTCCTGGAGGAATTAACTAACTTATTGGCAGTATTAATGAGAATATAATTCTTTCTTTTCAAAATGACGTATTTCAAGAGAGCTGAATAAGTATCTCCTACCAATAAATAAGATATTTTAGAATAAAAGAAGTAGCAGGGTGGGAAAAATAGGTAAGAGAAGAAACAATTTAAGAAGTTTAAAAAGAAAAATAAAGACTAAACTAACAGGAAAAAAATAGATGAAAAACACTCAATTTCAAGCATCAACAAAATGTGCTTTTTTTCTTGCTTATCCTTTTACCTCTATTACCTAGAAGCATGCATAATTCAATTACTATTTCTTAAATGAATAACTGAGTGAATAGTACTTACCATGGGACATTGAGTTAAGCCAAAAAACAATTCTAAACCTCAGCATCATTGAGAAAAATAAAGGGGGGCTGGTGGAGGGTGCCAGAAATAAATATCAATAATATATTATGAGTGAAACATAATAGAAAAGACCAAAGGATCAAGATGGAATTGGAGAAAGGAAAGCAGGATCATAGTCACCTCTGAGTACCTACAAATCAGGAAAAATTGATAATCAGGACAAAACACATACATACGGATATTGTCTTAATCTATTCTGGCTTATGTAACAAACTACTGTGGACTGAGTGGCTTATAAACTACAAATTCATCTTTCACAGCTCTGGAAGGTGGAAGTTCAGGATATGGTTGGGTTCTGGTGCAGACCCTCTTCTCATGGTATCCTTATATGGCAGAAAAAAGGTGAGAGACCTATAGTCCCTCTTATAAAGGCATACGTCCCATTCATTAGGTCTCCAACTTCATGACCTAATTACTGCCAAAGGTTCCACCTCCTAATACCATCCTAGTATTTTGAGTCAGGATTTCAACATATTAATTTGGGGGTAGGGGCACATAAATTTAGTCCATAGAAGATATCTTTTGGATGCAATGCTTTTAGTGGTCAGTGTTGTTTCTTGGCCTTCCTGCATCCATGCATTCTTCCCAAGAGAATCCAAGTTCCTTGGGAATAAGACTTTTCTTGCTGGTTATCATCTTGTGGTACTCTATTAGATTTTCTGTACTCCATTGGTAAATTGAATACTGCTTCCCTGAAATTTAAATTTGTGGAGTTACTAAGAGAATGAATTTAGTTAGCATTGGTTTGTCCCCGTGATTAAGCCTTGAAAATAAACCTGTTTCTGCAATGAAATCAGTGCAGTAGTTTCTCTGCTGTTATTTTTGTTCCTGTGGGTTTGTAAGTCTCATTCTATAGATTTCTTGGAGGCAGCTATAGTTCATCTTGCAACCAAATATCTGAACTGAACAATGGTGGATGATATTTATAATCTGTCTTTTAGACTTAATTTAAATTATTGAATAAATATACCATTAACTTTAAAAATACAATTTATAAATTTAGATAAGGAGAGGAAGAGACTTTATTTCTTATAAAGGGTTACAGCCTGCAGGGTGGCCATTCTGACAGGCTGGGAAGCATAGCTTCCAGTAGAAGCCAGAAGCAGATACTTTGAGGGAGGAGCAAAGGGAAGGGAACAGGAATTTATGCTGAATGAGGTGGCCAAATACAAGTTTTAAGTAAGTTATACGTGGAATCATAAATAGTTAGGAAAGGTGTGCAGCTGAGCTTCATGACTCTCCCTGGGTCCTATGTACAAAAAAATGTCAGGGTTACTATGTTTCAAAGGTGGAGTTTCTAGCCCTCTGATGTCAAACAGTGAATCAGATGACATGAAAACTCTTACTCTGCATTCTCCATAGACTGTCTGGAAACTCTCTGTGTTGAGTGGCCTCTTATCAGGCAAAAAAAAAGAAGGGTAGCAGCATCAGGTAGTTGGTTGATATCAGTGGTGACATTTCTTGAAAGGGCTGGTATCTGTTTAGCCCTTAGGGAAGAAAGACTAATGGCAGTTGGCGAGGGATAGCAATGTATAAAGAGGCATGTTCAACCTCCTATCCCTTCTTATCACGGCCAATGACTTAATTTTCAAGGCTACTCTGGGGTCTCTATGGCCAAAGGATGGCCCGTTCAGTCAGTTGGGGGTCTTAGAATTTTATTTTTAGTTTGTCACACACACACAAGCACATACACATATCTTTTTGTAATTTATATTCTTAGCACTATTTTTACTGTATTTTATATAATTATAATGTGATATATATCATAATATATACAGACATGTTTGCTATACATGTTTGTTTACATTTGTAAGATCCTCATGAGATTATTTCTTATTTATCTTTGCATGCTTAGTACCTTCCCTAACAAATAATACATTATTAGTATTTATTAAGTAAATACCTATTTTATTATTTAAATAATCTTTTGCTTATAAAGTCCTACTATAGTATTCTATTAAAATGGCATTCAGACAAGAGCTAACTATCCCTGATATATGTACCTAAACCTTAATTTATCAGACCTGAGTGGACTAGAAATTTACAATTACACAAACATAAACCATTCTTCAAAATATGTATTACATTGTCTAAAATGTGTAAACATCTCGATGTTTGTAACTTTTGAACGACATTTGCATGACTGACAGATTTTTTCACTTTTGTTCCAGATACTTGATATATAGTTTTAAAGTTATATTCATATTTTCTGCTTTAAATGAGTAATTAGTTTACATATGATAATTTTTAAGACTTAGAAAAATCTTTAGACCTAGTTCAATCCAAGGAGTTCTCTAGAACTTTTACTAATTTATGTCTTTCCACAAAAATTGAGGAAGGCTGGAGGAATGTACCCACTGAGGTTGGAATCAAAGAGAAAAGAAATTGATGAGAAGACAACTGAGTAGGCATTTTTTAGCTAACGATCCTAAAGCATTTCTCATCCTATGTCCGACCAAGCGCCCATCAGAATTGAAGGGAATCATAGGAAATATTAGTACTCATTAGCAATTGAAGTGGTTGCTAATGGGAGAGTCGAGAAACACTTAATGTAGAGTCCACACACACTCAAAGAGAGTTCTGGTGAATACTATCATTCTGTGTTATTCAGAAAGCTTTTCAATTCAATTTCCCTTGGACAAATACCAGAATTTTTGAGAGAATGTAGTATTATATGGGAAAGTAACAATTTATACCTTATTTCAATAATAAGATATTTTTCATTTGTAAATTTACATCCTGATGACATTTAGTATTGGCTAGAATACCGGAAATAGAAGCTCTAATATACTGTTGCTGGGGTTGCAAATTGATACTGTCACTTTGGAAAGAAATTTGTATTTAACTTACATGATGAAATTGAAAAGGTAAATTTCCCATCAGAATTCTAATTCTAAGTATATTCCCTGATAAAAGTCTTGTGTGTGTATATATATATATATATACACACACAAGATATTTGGATGGGTGTTAATTGTTACACTTTGGGGAATAATGAAAATCTAGAAACACTCAAAGCCCATAAATACGGTAAATGATAGTGATGTATTAGGTATTTATATTTGCATATATAGTCATGCAATAAAATGTTCTAATCAAAGGTAAATCATTGCATTTATAGCTATATTCATGGCAATCAAAAATAATATTGAATTAACAGAACAAAAATCATAACAATTTATACTATCATTTACATGAAATGTAAAAAGCATATGCAAATGATATGTGTATAGACATTCATACATATATTATATGTGAAAACATTGGTTGTCTGAGCTTGCTTATGTGGTCATTGGAGGAGAGTATAATGCTACATTAAGAGTAATGGAAGTGTGATAGATTATAGAAATAGTTTTTCTCCCTCACAATATTCATGCACTTTGCAGTGTGAATTTCCAGGTCCTCCCAACAAGAGGTGGAGACTATCCCTCCATCTCCCTGAATCTGGAAAGTCCCAGTGACTTTCTTTGGCTATAGAATGTGATGAAAGTGACAGAGTGTCTGCTCTGAGACTAAGCCCTAAAACAGCTGGCATGATTCTACTCTCTCTGAACCCTGCCAATACCATGTGAACAAGCTCCTGCTGGCCCGCAGGAGCTGAGACACCATGTGCAAGCTGTGTTGAACTTTCCCAGCAGAGGCCATCCTAGACGGCGAGCCCCCAGCAGCTGACTTCAGACACTAACATGAGAAGAACTGCCCAGACCAAATTGCTTACCTGTAGAATTATGAAATAAACAAATGCTTGTGGCTTTACATCTTGCAGCTTTAAGGCATTTGGGGCTTTTTTGTTATATAAGAAAAACTGAATGATAGCTAAGGGAATCATAGATAATGTCCACCTGGAGACCGGAAAGGAGATATTGGTTAATGAGCTCACAGTTCTGCTGAATAAATAAGAGATACAGAAATGTCATTTGGTTACTGTGTTGTTTTCTTTTGGTGTGACCTGACTGCACTCCTCATTGTGGGCCTGAGGCTACCACCAAGAACCTGGGAACACTTAAAAATGCTGTAATATGACTTCTCTGCTTTTATGTTTTACTTTTTAACTCATCCAAGAATCATGCTTATTTTTAATTCATACTATAAAAATCTAAATCATAGTAACAGATATTTTCTTTTTTAGGAATGTTATGGGGTAAAGATGGAAGCTCTCAATTCTTGAAGACATTAGAAATTACATCAAATTCATCCAGTGCATTTTAATAACATACATGAAGCGTGGAGGTGAATCACTATTGCTTTGCTTCTGCAGTTTTAACCTACATAATAAGCAAGAGCAATAAATTCTAAAATTATAAAAATATATTTCTTATCGTGTTGTAAAGCATGTACCAAGGTTTTTTTTTTCTGTTAAATACTGTCATAAATATGGAAGTAAAGACTATTTTTTTCTGCATAATTTGTGTTCATTGCATTTAAATGTAGTAGATTAAAACCCTGACATTAGAAAACACATGGGATTATCAAAATAAATTTTAATTAAGATCCTCCTTCCTAACGGTTTTAAAAGTGTAAATATCAGCAAAATATCTTACCTGTACTGAATTTATCAATTAATGTATCTAAATTCCTTAATAACTCTCTTGTGCTGTTCACTATTATTATTCTGACACTAGCTGAAATTCTTGTTTGAAATGTTTTGCTGATATCCAAATAAATAGAAAATTTTAGCAATTCATATACCTAGAGACACTTTAAAATTGTCTAAACTAGAAAAATGAATATTCCCAAGAGCATTAGTTAATTTAAAATACAATGAATATACATTTGTTTTATAGTTCACTTCAATTGAACCTAAAACTAATAGAATGCAAAAAGTACAAAAACTTGTGTAGAATCATATCTTTATGTCGATTAGGCACTATCAAATAAATGCATCACACCATATAACACTAATTGTATCATACAATTTTCCTTTATAAATACTCTTTTTTTCCATTTTCTGTCTGTAAAAATTAAAGCCCAGGATTTTTAACTTTGCATAAAATTCAGTCTGTATGTCTCCCTCCATTTCGCTTCCTGAAAAGTCTGCTCTGAATTCTGTGCACGGTCCAACTTGCAATCTACAGAGTTAAATTTTCAATATACTCACATATTTTGGGCAATTCAATTCTTCTCTGCCTCTCTTAGCCATCTATGAAGGTGTGACTCAAATCACTTGCTCATACATTTCTATAACCATTTCACCTGAAGTTCTCATTTCTTCCCATGCATTCTAATACATAACACATATTCTGCAGCAGTTGATTAGTATATACTTCTTAAGGGCACTTAATGCCATCTTCTTTTTTGCTATCAGTAAAAAAACACAGTATTCAATAAATGTTGATGAATTAAATAACTCATCTGGAAGCACAACTAAAAAGTTATAATAAGAGATTATTATCTACAAATGACCTGGTAGAGTAGTTTTCAATGTATAAAATCTTTGATTGTATTTCTGAAGATTTGGCAGAGAAGAAAAGGCAGCACTTCTCTACTTGGAATGTAAGGCAATTTAATTTGCTTTATTCAATGTAGAGAGAGTTTCTGGAGGTGATACAGATTTCTCTCTTATTAGAAATCATTTTTCTATCATTTATTTTAATATCACTGCTAAATCTAAGTAAGGTTGGGCATTTGAACAAAAGACTGCTTTGTGAAGAAAATGTGTATAATTATAAAAAGTAAAAACAATATTTATTTCTATCAAGTGACGAAGTGGTATACAAATTATTGTCTATTCATAGACAGATTATTAATGAAAACTAAGCAGTGTATATATAAACACAGATTTAAAAATTTTAATGTTGAGTGAAGAGCACATGGCAAAATGATGGGTATAAGATGTACATTAAAAAATACTTCATTTAGATATGCCTATATAAAATGACTACATTAAAGAGCATGTAATTGTTTTTTATGAGAAAAAAACCTAAAATATTTGAGAATAGAAAAGGGCGATTTAATTTTTTTCATAATATTCTTTTTATTTTATTAGAAACAAAACATAATTGTTAATATTTATTAATGGGGAAGTTTATTCATGTTAACCTATGTTATTCTCTGAACATTTCAGTGTTATGACATAATTTAAAATAAAAATATACTACTCTATCAAAAATTGAGGCTAAGTATATATAAAGAAAACTCTCATTTATCTCCAACACCAACCCCATATGTTTTCATAGTAGGTCTTAAGTTAGGTGATTTCTCAAAGGTTATACGAAGAGAAAAAAATAGAGCCTGAATAATAAATCTGAAGGCTTAGCTCCCATTGTAATGCCTTTTTCATTAAATCAGGCTTAAAGAGTTGATGCATTTTACATTATCAATGTAGAAACTCGTCTTTATCTTCAATGAAATCCAGACAAAAATTGAGTTGGTTGAAAACTTCATGGTAACAGAGAATGTTTGAAGAAGGAAGAAGCAGGTTGGCATTAGCCAAATACATACAGACAACAGGAGTGCATGTGAAAACACTTCAGATATTTTGTATGAGTTTTTCTTTAACAGAAAATGATCGTCAACCTAGAAAGGTAAACAAATATTGCTAAAAAGAAATGGAAGCCCAAGATTGATGATGAAGTAGTAAAAGACCTCCTAGTTATTATAAATGAGCTCAAGTTTCTTGTGCAGGGTATTGAAGACATTTCTAAGTGAGGTCATGGAAATAATCTTGGTGATGTTAATGATATATATGTATATAAACATAGATATATAATATATATTGTGCTTTATAAGTATGTATATATATAAACATGTACAAATGTAAACACATACGTGTAAATATATTCACATACGTAAGGTCACTCTCTTTATACGTATACAGAAGGTGAGAGGGAGACTGACATTGGAGAGGGGTGAAACAGCCAATATTAATTTGTATTTTACCTATATTATTTCATTTAATCCTCTCGACAGAGGAGGAAAACTAGCAGAGAAAGGTTTGAATCATTCAAATACTTACATCTTTTGAGCATTAGAGATGGGCTCCAAGTTCAGGAAGCTTGGCTTCCGAGCCCAGGTTTTTCAGAAATCTCTCTTCCCATTTTCAAGAGATGATTTTGAAAAGTATTTAGACCACCAAGTTTGACACTGATTTCAGGCAAATGCTGACTAGGTTATCATATACATTTCTGTTGTTTTTTGGAGAATTAACTTACATGATAGACTAAGCTGCTATATAAAAAGTTCTGTCTTACCTGATAGAAACAGTTACAAATGCCAGACACACAACCTAAAAAAAAAATCCTTAGCCTATATTTACTAGGGAATAAACAGCTACCCTTCATCACAATACTTATAATTAACAACTTCTCCCAAACTGATCAAGTGCAGCATCCATTAATTTCTTAATTAGACACAGGTCAAACTTAATAATTATGATGCTGGGACACGTATTACTAGCAACAGTGTCCTTTTTGTAAGTTGACTTTCCTGGAAGGTCATCACTACAATTAAACAGAAAATCACAGTGAACTGAATTTGGAGATGTACATAAACTATGTATGGTATAATTTCTGACAAGCCAACATGGAAAGTGTAAACTAATGCCAGAAAAGATAAGTACATCAGATTATGCAAAAGGAGTTGTAATTTAGAACTTATGGGAGGAGGATGTTCAAATCCTCTGCAAAACTGGAAGCCTCAAAAGATTTTTGTCAGTGAAACTTGGCCAAGAAAAATTGCTAAATAACTGAGGAAAAGTTAGGAAGCCTGTGGAAGCATCAAGGGTTGTGAGCAGAAAAATAAAAGCAAAGTTCACTTATGAGTAATAAAAATCCCAGGTTAGCACTAAATGCAAGAGTGTTGTCTAATTTCATCATCAGAGCTCCTTCAGAGGCAAACAGAAAATTGCTCTGCAGGTAATTCCCACAATTCAGTGTATAGATGTGGGAATAAAGAAAAAGAAAAGAACAAAAAAGACCAGAAGATGTGTTCATGTTCAAAATTGCAGATCACACAAGATGACAAACTACCAACACTACCAGGTACTCACTATCAGGAGAAGGTCAACAGATGCAAAACAGATGACGAGAATCACCATAATAATAGAACAATGTTTGAAACATTATATACTGCTTAAACTATCTAAATAGACAAGGAATAAAAATATTCTGGAAATTAAATAATATATGTTACTAAATATTTAACACTTCAAGAGATTTCCAACTTCTATTCAGTGATGTAAAATGCTGGAAAGAATATTGTTCTCCCAAGAAAAATCTACAAAAACTCCAAATCCATAGCTTTTCTTTTTCTTTCTGAATTATTTATTTATTTATTTAGAGCTTTTATTTTAGGTGCAGGGGTACACATGGAGGTTTGTTATATAGGTAAATTGCATGTCACAGAGGTTTGGTGTATAGAGTATTTCACCACCCAGGAGATAAGCATAGGTAGATATGCTACGTATGCTGCCCAATAGGTAGGTTTTTGATCTTCACCCTCCTCCCTCTCTCCACCCTCAAGCAGGCCCCAGTGTCTGTTGTTCCTTTCTTTGTGAACATCTGTACTCAATATTTAGCTCCCATTTATAAGTGAGAACATGTGATATTTGGCCCTCTGTTACTGTGTTGGTTCACTTAGCATAATGGCCTCCAGCTCTGTCCATGTTACTGCAAAGGACATAATCTCATTCTTTTTTATGGCTGTATAGTATTTCATGGTGCATTTGTACCACATTTTCTTTATCCTGTCTACCATTGATTGGCATATAGGTTGATTCTATGTCTTTGCTACTGTGAGCAGTGCTGCAGTAAACATACACGTGCACATATCTTTATGGCAGAACAATGTATATTCCTTTGAGTATATACCCAGTCATGGGATTGCTGAGTCAAACGGTAATTCTGCTTTGAGTTCTATGAGAAATTGCCAAACTGCTTTCTGCAATGGCTGAACTGATTTACAGTCCCACCAGTAGTGTGTAAGCACTCTTTTTTCTCCACAACCTCACAGCATGTTATTTTTTGACATTTTAATAACACCAATTTTGACTGGTATGACATGGTATTTCATTGTGGTTTTGATTGGCAGTCATTAGAGAGAGACCATCCCAGGGCAATCTGCTAACCTAATATCTGGGGAGAAACAGGCACCTGCAGCGAGTCAGGATTTGAATCTTTGCTTAACTAGTACAGACACTGGACAACACTAAGGAGAATTCAGCAAGAATAGTTGACAAATTGGTAGAGTGTGGAATGGCAGGTGAGCCTGGTGGCTGCAGAATTTTCGGTGAAAAACTTATTTATTTATTTATTATTTTTTTTTGAGATGGAGTCTTGCTCTGTTGCCCAGGCTGGAGTGCAGTGGCATGATCTTGGCTCACTGCAAGCTTCGCCTCCCGGGTTCATGCCATTCTCCTGCCTCAGCCTCCCGAGTAGCTGGGACTACAGGCACCCACCACCACGCCTGGCTATTTTTTTTGTATTTTTAGTAGAGACGGGGTTTCACTGGGTAAAAAACTTATTTTAAAAAAATCTCCTACAGACTGGAGGGTTTACTGGTGAACTTTACCAAACATTAAAGGAAAAATAATACCATTTCTACATAATCTCTTTCAGACACTTTAAGAAAATAAAAATACATTATATGAGCCCAACACTGTTGTAATGCCAAAACTGGAAAAAAAAATCATTACAAGAGAACTACATGCTAATATCTCTCATAAACATAGATGCAAAAATCCTGATAAAATATTTTAGCAAATTAATACCAAAACATAATATAAAAGTAATTGCATATCCTAGCCAAAGTTGGTCTATCCCAACAATACCAAACTGGTTCAACATGCAAGAATTGATCGATAAAATTAACAATATTAACATCATATTTAAAAAGAGGAATCATGTGATTAACTCTAGATGCAGAAACTGGATTTGACAAAATTCAATATCTATTTATTGAAGAATAGATATTGAATAGAATGTGGAAAAATCTTAGAACACTGGGAATAAAAACTTCTTTGACTCAATAAGGAAGAGGTACAAAAACATTTAACTTACATTATGTTTAATGATATAAACAAAGGATGTTTGTGCTAAGATTGGAAACAAGCCAAGCCAATATCATACTGGAAATCTTAGTTTAATAAGGCAAGAATAAAAAGTGTACAGATTAAAGGGAAAGAAATAATAATGTCTTTCTTTACAAACATGACTGATCCCATAGAAAATCCCATAGACTCTTTAAAAAGCTTCTAGAACTAATATGTGAGTTCAAAAAGATCTAAAGATAAAATATCACTCTGCAGAAAATCAATCGTATTTCTGCATACTAGCAATGAACCATATTACTTAAAAGATAAGAATGCTACCATCATCAATAAAACAAATTATGAGATATATATATATTTAATGCATACATGCATATTTCTGTATGCAGAAAATTATGTGGATAAAAGAAATCAAGTAAGGTCAAAATAAATGGAAAGATATACTGTGTTAATGGATTGAAAGACCCACTTTGTTAAAAATTCAATTATCTTAAGGTTAAATTATAAATCAAATGCAATACCAATCAAAATACCAATGATTTTTTCTCTAAATATATATATTAACAGATGATTATAAAATTTATGGAAAGAAAAAAGAAACAAAATAACCAAAACAACTTTGAAAAATAAGTAAAAAGTTAGATGATTCACGTTACTAGATGTCAAGACTGACTATGAAGCTATAGTGGTTAAGACAGTATGATATTAGCTGAAGGACACACCTTTAGATAGATATAATGGATTAGAGTGCCCAGAAACAGACCCACCCAAACATAGTCAATTTAATTTTTTTGAGAAATGTACAGTCATTTCAACAGAGAAAGGATAGTCTTAACTGGAACTTGAACAACTGGATGTTCATACGTACAAAAATAAACCTTGACCCAAGCCACACACCTTACAAATTTGACTCAAAATGATCACAAGACAAATATTAAATATAGACAAATAATATAAAACAATAAAACATAAGGAAAATTGTATGAGCTTGGTTTAAGCTAAGAGTATTTAGATACAACAACAAAAGCACAATCCATAGAAACTTGGACCTTGTAAAAAATTATTTTTTCATCTACAACAGTATTATGAGGAGAAAAAGAAGACACAGACTGGGAGAAACAATCACATTTCTGACAAAGACAAATGAAATTATGTCCACGTAAAACCTGCATATAAATGTTTATAACAGCCTAACTTATAATTGCCAAAATCTGGTAGCAACAGGATATCCTTCCCCATGTAAATGGATTGGCAATCTATGTGAGATGTGGCTCACAATGTAATACTAGTCAGAAAAAAAAGTTAGAAACCATTGATTCAACAACTATTGATTTGAAAACAACATGGATGAATTTTTAAGTGATTCTTTGAATCTGGTTGCTAAGTGTGAAAGCAGCTGGACCCAAAAATGTGTGTCAGGGTTTCTCATCTTGAGCACTGCCGACATTTGGGGCCAGATAATTCTTTATTGTCCGGGGTTGTCCTGTGCATTGCAGGAGGTTGAGTGGCATCTCTAACCTCTTCCCACTAGAGGTCAGTAGTAACCCTCACTCCAGTCTTACCAATCAAAAAATGTCTTCAGACATTGTCAAATATCCCCTTGGGAACAAATTTGTCTCTCACTGAGAACCCCCAGTCTACATATTGTATGTTTCTACTTATATGATATCACGGAAAAGAAAACTATAGACTGAAAACAGGCCAGTAGTTGTCAGATTTAGGAAAATGGAGTGGGTAACAAGAGAATTTTTAGTGTGATGGACTGTTTTGTATCAGGACTATGAATATATGACTCCTCAAAACCCATAAAGCTACATACTACAAAAAGTGAATTTTACTGTATGTAAATCAAAAATAACCAGTATGTGGGGGAATCCCAAATCAAACACAAACTGTGACCTATGAACCTAAATGAACAACAAGTGAACAACAAAACCACACATAGTGTAATAGGAAACAAAAAGAAAACTAACTATAGTTACTTTGGAAAGCAGTGTTTTAACTAAATATTGTAAGGTTAAAGACAAAAATAATTGTTTTGGTTTGAACATTTGTTCCCTCCAAAACTCATGTTGAAATTTGGTTGCAGTGTTAGAAGGTGAGACCTTTGGGAGGTGATAGTTCCACCCTCAAGAGTGGGATTAATATTGTCATGAAAGGCCATATTTGGGCCCCCGTTGGCCTCTTTGCCTTTTGCTGTCTGCCATGTGAGGAAAGTGTTTCTTCTCTGCAGAGGATGCAACAAGAAGGCCCTTGAAATATGCCAGTGACTGAATCTTGGACTTCCCAGCCTCTAGAACTGTGAGAAAATAAATTTCTGTTCTTTATAAATTATCCAGTGTCAGGCATTATGTTATAGCAGAACAGACAGACCAAGAGAGAATAGTAAACAAATATTGCACTCTAGTTAGCAAACTTTTTAAATCAAATGCATGTGGGTTAGGAAATTTGAGACTAAATAATAAAGTTGAACAAATAAATAAATACATTTTATATACTGAGATTCTGGTTTCTCAATGGCAGAGAAAAAATTACTAGGACTGAAGTGGAACAGCTAGAATAAAACCTGTGGTTGTTAGAGTGATAGGTGAAACTATCATTATAAATATATGGTTTCTAAATATTTGTACAAATATTTAGATAGAGAAAATATATAAATGTTTTATGCATGTGTGTTTAATCTAAGCTTTAAGCTTTGTGAGCTGAGAAGTCCTGGAAACAATACTACTTCCGTAGCAGTGAGCACACCAGGTATTCAGACCTTAGTGTTTTAATTGCACTCTCCTTTACAAGGAACTTGAGCGCTTAAGAGGAGTGTTTGATTCCAGGTCAAGAAAAGAAAATATACAAGATGAGTCCAGAGCATCCTGGACATCAAAAAGTAAGGAAATGCTCATAAAAGGATGAGGGCACATTAAAAGGGCAGAGGGGACTCTGTGAAAGAGCTTCAATGACCAATATACAACAGTTTGAGCAACAAAATAATGTAGCATTGTATTATAGCTCACAGAATAATGTAAATATCCATGTGTCCAATTGATATAAATGTATAATTGAATAAGTAAATAAATGTGGGAGAATGGGTAGTTCTTCTTTGCAGAATAAATCCGATTAATAAGTGTAGAAGAAATGAAGAAAATAGAACATTTTCATTAGAATAACACAATAATAATTATTAGTGGCAAGATTGCATGCTAAAATTATGCACATTTTTAGAAGAGATACATTACAGGATATTTGTGTAGTGTCAGAATATCTTCCTCTAAGATATTTATCAATACAGAATGCAAAACAGTAACTTTACAGTAGATAAACCTGCCGTACACGACATCAACCACATGATCAAAGTTAATATCACCAGTTATAATGACATATGACATTCTGTACCTCCTGATACAATGCAGAGAAATGGACACATCCCTTCTGTGATATTATTGCCAAAAATGCATAACCTCAATCTAAACATGTAAAAATAACAGACAAAATAAGCCTAACAAAAGTGATACCTGCTCTGATAAGATGATGGAGAGTAGTAATGACTTATTAGATGAGTGTCATTTTTATTTGCCTCAAGAAAACTGAAACAATGCATAGCCAGTTTGGTGATTTTATGCACATGAATGAATCCCTGAACTTGGCTGGTTGGCACTCCACTTAGGAAAGGATGAAGATAATCTCTCCTTTCCTTTCACTTCATAATACACTGGGAAATGAGTACATCAAAAATCATTTTTTGCAGGTTTATATGTTTGCTTTTTTCCTCTACATCCTTCTTAAAGTTATTCTACCTTTTTAAAATCAAGATTACTCAGACTGATTTAAAACAAAAACCCTGTAGGACTGCTGATCGTCTACAGCCTTTCAATGCCTCAGAGGCAGGCAGAGAAGCCACTAAACATTAGAGCAAAACTGATTTTCTTTCTGTACTGACTTCAGAAGGTGAATTGAAAGTTACCTTCAATTGAACATTCACTTTCAACGTGAAGACCCAGTGAAAGAATCTGAAACTGGATTTGATATATTTAAATAGAGCTAAGTTATTTCAAGGACTTTAGATCCTTCTGGTAAAGATTTAATAAAATAGTGATAGAGTGAAGTGTTTGGATATTTTAAGCTGAATAAATAGCCTGTTCAATCATTAAGCCTTTAACAGTTCCTTGAAACAGAACCAGTAATCCCTTCATCCAATGGTCTTATCTCAACTATAGAATTTATATAGCGTTTATTATATTAGACCTTGTCCTTTCCCCTTTATTTTACAGGTATATAAGCCTGTTCTCGTCTACGAGACTTTATTTACATTTCTTGAGGTCAGAGTAGTATTATTTAACTAAATAATCACAGGGCCTTGACCAATGCCTTCTATATATTAGGGTACAGATAAAGGTTTATTGAATAAAATAGATTATGAGAGTAGTTTTGTTATCTTTTCTGAGAAGAAAATGGATATCTCTATCTCTATATCTGTACTTTACCTTTACCTGTATCTATATCTAATCTATATCTATCTGTATGTCTATGTATTTACATGGATATAAATATGGATATAGATATCAATATAGATACAATTCTGCATCTGGGTTACTTTTTAGTATACAACTGTTGCATTTTTATGGGTACACCATATTTATATATATGGCCAATCTTATTAATTCATACCAACAAATAATTTTTAAATGTTTTCCATTTCTAATATTCTTCATAATGCACTTAATGGTTTACCAATTACTTATAAGTACACAGATTGTAGGCAATGAAGCCAGTCCTCTGAATTCAAGAGCTCTTACTGCCTGTGTTCAATCTTTCAAAAAGTAACTTTCCACCAAATGAGAAACTGTGTAAGAATCACACCTACTCACATTTTTTTTCCCAAAATTTTGCACTTGAGGAGCAGAAAGATGAGGTTGTAATAATATCCACATTTTTTCCTACCAGCTCACCTGGCAATCTGTTTTAATCTTGGCATCCTCAATCCCGGAAGTTCACCCAGAGTTATACAGCAATTAGAGGGAAAATAAATTAGTATTTAAATATAATGTGTAGTTTTCTTCAGAGATACCTTAACATTTAATATGTTTTCTAAAAACATAACCAGACTCTCTCTATATATAGAGTTCAAATTATATATAAAAATAAATATATAATTATATATATGAAGGACAAATTTGGGTGACAAAAAGGAAACTGAATCGTAAGTCAGTTGATCCATATTAAAATTGCAGTACTATCATTTATAGGTTTTCTTTGGGTGAATGTTTTCATATTTTAACTCAGTTACCTTGTCTGTATAATGAAGATGATACTTCCTACCACATGGTTTTAGTCTTCCTTGCACAAAACATTTTGAGAAGATGATACGTGTGCAGTGAAAAAAAAGGAAGAGTTTTAATTAAATTTAGAAAAATTAGGCTAGACTTAATTTAAAATGTTTCCTATATAATGTTTTCCGCAGAGTAATTTACTAATGTGAATTATAAACACTAATGGGATAGATACTCTGTGTAGCATTTCATATGTATGTATGTGTATACACCCACCCCCACACACACACAGACTTTTTTTTAATCTCAAAATATTTTTTGTCTTTGGGCTGGGAAAATATGCACTACAGTTTATTGTCTGTCTGTAATTGATACACTTTGTAAAAGGACCATTACACATGTAGTAAGATTTATAGATATTTTAAAAACATTTCAGCAAATTGTTGATTACCTACAGGGTGTAGTTATAAAAATATCACTGCTGCTGGGTCTCTTTCTTCATACTTTCCCTGTGCTTTGCTGTGTCTCAGGGGAAGAAAAGCATGTTTAGGTAATTGTGCTTAGTTTTTATTATTAAGCATATTTTCTGGATGGTGCTTTTTGAAGGAACAACAAAGGTGACAATTATAACATGGAAAATAAAAAGAAAATAATTTCAAGAGGAGACAAACACCCTTTAAGTGATAAAATTAAAAATATTCTTCCATATAACTCATGCACAGATTAAATGTCAGCAATTAAAATGACCTTCACATTTATTTTTAAGTTGGGGTTAATTATAGCATTAATCAAATACCTTATAAACTGGGTATGCAAATAAAATCTCCTGGCATGTTATAGTAACAGAAATATTCACTTCAGGATTTATACATTAGAACCTATCCCACCTCATTGTCACTATGTTTAATTTATAACATCATTCTAATTGGAAAAAAATAAGGTAAGGGTGAACTCCATCAGTGCATATTACTGATTTTACCATACATTCACTTGTCATTCCTAAAATGTGCTAAATCTCGAGTGAAGATATTTATCTCAACAAACTAATGTAGAACTATATCAGTCCATCATTTTAGCTTTAGGAATGATTAAGTTCCTTAAAATTTTCACCAGAATGATTGTGATGTTGTATACAATTTGTATTACAAAATTGTCCTGATATCTTACTTTATATTGACAACAATTCATCACAACTACTGTGTCTCACAATCTGCTGAATTTATAGTCATGGGTCTATTATTCATAAAGAATTATAAAATCAACCTTTCACTCTTAAGTTAAATTACGGGGAAAAACTTCCATTTTCTAAAGGTCAAGATCTTTTTTATAAAGAAAATGACAGTTTATACCAATCCCATTATATATAGATATAAATAGTCATCATCATTTTAAAAGTATACTTTCTTTAGTGTACGAGTTTGAGTTAGTGCTATCAGAAACTGGTCGTACTGAGTACATTTTGTTGGGGGTGGAAATAAAAGATGCTTTAATAAAATCAATCTTTGGAGACACAAATTCACTTTTACTGAGAAGGTATACTTTATCCTAACTGTTGGACAATGATTTTTTTCTTCACACTGTCTCACATAACTTTAGTAAATTACTGACTTTGAAAAAAAGGTGCCGTTTTCAATCTTACTGTGATAAAGATAGAATGAAGGTGTAGTGAGACAAATATTGAAAAATAGGACATATGGAGGAAGAAGAGGAAAAGTCAGTGAAAGATCTGAGACTATCTATTCTGAGGGAATAACAGAGGAAATGATAAAAGCTTATCCTCATCATGGAGTTATCAAAATTGTCTGACAAATAGTTGCTGAAATCCATGTAGGCCAACTGAGAGCTTATTTGCACTAAAGGAAGAAAAATCTCAGGAATCACAGAGGTATTAGAATTAAGAGAGAAAGTATGGTTGGTTTAGGGACCAACCATGCTCTTTTTTGTGAAATGTAGAAGAAATAAACCATACTTTCTTTGTGAAATGTAGATGCAAGAATAAAATCAATGATCCTTCTTTAACAAAATCTGAATGAATGCATGGTGTCTACTTTCAAAAACCCCAATGCATACATTTTTAATCCTTATGTTACTTTATATAATACATTCAAATATAGAAGCTAAACTGCAATAATCTACTTTACATCTATATGTTTGATACAATTGTATTTTGTGACATACAGCCACCAGGCCTGGTATTCTGTCTTATTGAACAAATCAGGGAAGTCATAGCCCAGGAAGAAAGCTAATGAGAGACAGTGACAATTCTGAAGTTTAAGAAGTTATTACTCCTCAAACCCCAAACTTAATCTCGTTTTGGGATTAAGACTGTAGTATTCATTCTAAACTCAGCTGGTTGGAGACTAAGACTGTTGCAGACAAAATGAGCCCCCAAATTGGGAATTAGCCCCAGAAATTTTTTGGCTTTGTTCAGGAGAGAATTCAGGTAGGAGTCAGTAATAGAAGAAAACAGCTTTATCAAAGCGGCCGTATTACAGATCTGTGACTGCTCCTGCAAAGCAGAGCCACTCCATAGGCAGTGAAGAGGAGCAGCTCAGAAGCAGGTCTGTAGTCATATTTATACCCACTTGAATTACATGCAAATTGAGGGGTGGCTTATGCAGAAATTTCTAGAAAAAGGGTAGTAAATTTTGGGTCATTGGGTCATTGCCATTGAAAGGGGTGGTAACTTCCAGGTGTTGCTATGGCAATGGTAAACTGACATGACACTGGTGGGTGTGTCTAACAGAGGTGCTTTCACTTCTTCCCTGTTTCAGCTAGTCTTCAATCTGGTCCAGAGTTCAAGTCCTGCCTCCTACCTCAAGACTGCTAATATATGTATTGCCTGCTTAATCAGAATGGGTTCAGCAGTTTGGAGAGAACTGAGTTTTAGGCTAAGAATAGTAACTGATGTCTGTGGAAAAGCAGGGAAAATTGATATTGGCAAAAATAAATGTTAAAGGCAAATTATATGTTGCACTGGTAATGTACTGACCTTTTGAAAAGGTGGGGTATACTCCAGTCTAACAGTGGAAAAATGAACTAAAGGATTCCCAGAGATCTTGTCAAAAATTAAATGGGCAATAAAAATAATAGCTCCTTTATTTGAGTACTACATATGTGCAGTTACATATGCTGAGTTATTATATGAATTATCCCATTAAGTCTTCACAACACCTATACAAAATACATACCAGTGATAATCCATTTTAACAGTGTAGAATCTAAGACTTAGATTAAATGGGCTCAGAGGTTCAATTAGAGTCTGTGTTATTAGTTACATATTGCTCCGTAACAAACTATCTTAAAGTTTTAGTAGCTGAAAACACAAATGTTTATCACTATACTTTCAATGCATCATTATCCAGGAGTGGAATAGCTCGGTGTTTCTGCGTTAGGGTCTCAAGATCCTGCAATAAGGGTGCCATCTAGGATTGCAGTGATCTCAGGGCTTTACCGTTGAAAGAGTTGTTTTTTTTTTTTTTTTTTGAGACAGAGTCTCCCTCTGTGGCCAGGCTGGAGTGCAGTGGCACGATCTCGGCTCACTGCAACCTCTGCCTCCCAGGTTCAAGCGATTCTCCTGCCTCACCTCCTGAGTAGCTGGGACTACAGGTGTGTACCACCAAGCCCAGCTAATTTTTTTTTTTTTTGTATTTTTAGTAGAGACGGGGTTTCACCATGTTGGCCAGGATGGTCTCGATCTCTTGACCTCGTGATCCACCTGCCTCGGCCTCCCAACTCTTACAAGATCACACATGTGGCTTCTGATAGGGCTCAGAAGATATGCTTCCAAGCTCACTAAATGGAACTCTCCCCAAAGCTGCCTCAAAACATGACAACTGGCTCCACTCTGAGTGAACAATCCAAGAGTGAGTGCACCAAAAACAGAAGCCAGAGATATTTATAACCTAATCATGGTAGCAACATCCTATCACTTCTGCCACACTCTTGTTTAGAAGAAAGCCGATCAGTCCAACCCACACTCAAAGATGAGATTTCACAAGAGCCTGAATACCAAGAGGTAAAGATTATTGGGGGCCGTTCTAGAGCATGCCTGCCGTGCTATATTCTATATACTTCAGAAACTATACTTCCGACAACAGCACTTTAGCACTTTCCTCTTAATTTTTAAACTCTAAGTTACAATGCTTGGATTTTTCTAGCTACGTGGTCATAGATTTATAATATCATAAGCCAAGCAGAATAACTATTTCCTCATTTTTTGCTTAGTTGATAACTGTCCTTTAGAAAAAGATGAACAGCCGTGAGAAAGGTAGCAAGTTCAATCTTCCCAAAGCATATATTTTTTACTGTGTAGCAGCTCCCTGCTATTAAGATAAGAAATAAAATGAAACTGAATTTTCAACCCTGCCTGTGAGGCATACTTTTTTCCCCCCTCTGATACTTTCTTTGTCAAATGTAGATGCAGAATAAAATCAATGATTCTTCTGTAAGAAAATCTGAATGAATGCATGATGTCTACTTTCAAAAACCCCAATGCATACATTTTTAATCTTTGTTTTACTTCATATAATAAATTCAAACATAGGAAGCTAAACTGCAATATTCTATGTGTTTGATACAATTGTATTTTGTAAGCAATTAGTTTTTTATATATTCTGATTTGTTAATATAAAACTATTTTTTCTGTTGAGTACAGAAAGAGAAAAATCAATTCTACAAAGGTTGTAAAATTTTAATATCTTTTTTGAAAACAGTAAAAAAAATCCCTCAATTTTATAAATATTTAAGTCTTATGTTCCTTTAAAATATTATTAGCTCCAGGCAATGACATTCAAACAGTCTGCTCCATTTCAATTACCATTTGGTTTACAAGAATTTAGGTATTCTTCAGATAAATAATTAATTTAATTTAATCTTTTTATCATCTTGAAAGCATAATCCTACTAGTATTACATACACAAAATGTGAGTCAATTTTAGTGGTTATCTAGAAAAGGCAGGGTATTAGAAAGTTGATAAGGACCCATTTTATGAAAGTGTGTCAGAATTGACTCCATTTTTCAGTTAAATTTTAATGAAAAAAATGTATAAATATGTTTCTAAAAGGCAAATAGTAGTTAAAAGTGTGTAACAAAATGCACTATTTTCTATCCTTCTCTTCCCAACCTATTAATCTTATTCCCCAGAACCAACCTTATTACACCTTTAGCTGTTTCCCTATTTAGCATGCTTGTACTGCTATTTCTTCAACTTACAATTTTAGACAGTTATTTAATTTTCAAGAGTAATTTGAAAGAGGATTTACCTGGCTTACAAAACACCCACACAGGGCAGACAGATACATAAGCACAAGGCTCACAAATACACAACCTATAACTTGTAATGTCATTACATCATAATAGTTAACTAAATTGATGTACAGTGCTCAAATTGTTCTGACTGGGTAATTATTCAATGAAACGAAGTATTGTACCATGATTACAATTCTCTCCTGAAGATAATAATTGCCTATTACTTTTCATTTCTTATCCCATAAATTTAAATGCATTTACGAATTGCTGCTAGCCGTATTGAACTACCATAAATGTTTATTGTACACATACGTTGACACATGCAAGATTATTTCTAAGATTTTACCACTTGAGACTGGTTTCCTCAGGTTGTTTCACCACGGATTGTTTTACTTAGGGGCAGATTTCATCTGGAACTTCCAAAATTAGTCAAGACACGATGCTAAGATACAATCCACACAACTTTACACTCAGATCTACTATGTGGCACTGCTACAATTGTATGCCCTAAAAAAACAGGAATTCAGTAAAAATCTATTTTTGGCACAATTTCCATCAAGAAGAAACATGAAGTGTATTTATAGTCATGCAGCCTGTATTATCCAGTATATTCCTCGCTGGAGAGAATGTCTATTTTTTTCTAGGATTTGATGAGAACAAAATGTTCTGCTTACCATTTATACACATGATGGCTGTTTAATTTTTTCACCAACTATTTTGGCCCCTGTAAATTTTACATCTTTTATCTCTTTTCCTACCCATGTCCTCTGGTGTTAGCTGTGGAAGGATACAGTCTTAGTGTGATAAATCCCTGACTGAACTTTGATGCCACCAATCCAGATAAATTGGCATAATGGTCGGGGGGAGATTATCAGACGCCATTCTTACACTGAGACAGCTGATAAAGATGTAATTACACACGGGAATGATGTGAGCTTTGTAAATATGTCCTACTAAACACCAAATAGTGTATTTATAATAATCTTCTTCTTAGCTGGACTTCAAAAACAGCTGCAGCCAGCTCCTCCAGGACACCTGTATGAGGAACTATAACAGGCTTTGCAGGAGGACAGGTCCGCAGCTGATGTTGGCTGACCGAGTTCTTATTACCCTTGCCTGCAGTTTTCCGAATAATTGTAGAATATGCCCAGAATGCGATATCCTGTGATAATGAGGATATTTTCAGATCTTTTCAGGCTCTGTTCTCATCCATCCTAGAGCAGGACATCCGGCAATGCTTGTGCCCAGTGATCCAAGTTGCCCCTGGGGTGTAAAACCCAGAGTTGAGTGCCTTGAGAGTCTCTCAGCTGTGGTGCAAGGTGGGAAATGCACAGGAAAGACTGTATCCTATGTATCCTACCTGGGAGGCTTTCTGAGCTTGGGAGATTGGCTTGCCATGGATTCTAGGCTTCTGTTGATTCTTGCTGCCTGTGAGTAACGAAGTTGCTTTACCTGACCTGTGTGAGCATTCTGTCTCACCAGACTAGATCTAAAAATGAAAGTGGTAGAGGTGTGACTGCTGTAGCAGTTGTATCTGTTTTAAGCTCCTGCCAGAGACCAGAACACTTGCAGAACTCTGGCAGCTGGGTTAGTCCAAAACCTTCTTTCAGACTTAGAAAACTGAAGTCCTGATCTTAGCCAAGATGGTAGGAAGCAGTAGCTTCTTAATCAATAGTGGCTAAATAATATTTCTTCTAAATGTTCACCAAATCATTTGATCATGTTAACACATTGCTAGGGTCACTTCCATCCATTGAAAGGTGCTTGTGCAAATGAGGGACTCTTAAGCCAAAGCTTCATTAACTTCATAGTAAATCCACCTTTGTTCCTTTATTAAGTATATGCAGCAGTGGCTTCCAGAGAAAAGGAGTATGAGAAGTTAACACAGGAGCCCTTTCATGTCTAAAGATGTCTGTAGCCCACCTTTACATTTAATTATTAGTTCTGTGTGTAAAGACTTCTAGGTTGAAAATCATTTTCCCTCAGAACCTTGAAGGTATATTGAATAGTCCAATGTCATTCTGAATCCACTTATATTTATGTGATTTGTTATATCTATATAAAAATTTTCTTTCTGCATGATGTTAAGACTTGTTATGGGTTAAATTGTGTTCTCTAAAAATTAATATGTTGAAGCCCTCCCCACTCACTACCTCAAAATATAAACTTATTTGGAAATAGTATCCTTCCAGACATATAAGATGATGTCACTTAGGTGGGCCCTAATCCAAATCCAATGTAACTGATGTCCTTATAAAAAGGAAATATTAGAACATGGAAACAGATACATGTAGAGAGAAGATGATGTCAAGAGAACAGAAAGAAGACAGTTATCTATTAGCCAAGGTAAGAGATCTGGACTAGATATATATTTCTCTAGGCTCCCAAAAGAAACCAACCTAACTGACACCTTGATATTATACTTCTAACAGTCAGAGATGTCAGACAATAAATTTCTGTTTTTTAAGGCACTCCACTTGATTTTGGGCATTTTGTTCCAGGAGCCCTAGGAAATTAATACAGGGTCTTCTGTTTAGTGTGCTAAAATTTGAACATGATGTGCTTTGTCTGTTTTTTTCCTGGAATCCTTTTAATTTGGAAATATATCCCCTTCAGTTCTAGGATATGCTTTTTAACATCATGTCTTCGATACCTTGCTACTCTCCATTTTCTGATTTCCTTTTTTGAAAATTTGCATTTGTATTCATATTGAACTTTTTGGTTTAATTCCTTAATTTTCTCAACTCAAGTGCATTTTTTCTATATTACTGTTGTTCCCCCTCCCCACTTACTGCATGATTTCATCAACTTTTTATTCTGGGAGTTTGAATAACTCCTAAAATATTTCTATCCTTTTAGTTGAAATTTAAGAACTCTTTCTTGCTCTCTGAGTGTTTCTTTTTTTGTATCATTCTGGGTTCGTTGTTGTCTATTTCTTTTCCATTTTAAAATTTTAGTTCACAATTCAGCAGAATTGGAAGTTTGTGCTGATTCCAATTTGGAAGATTTCATTGGTCTTGGTTTGGTTTACTCATGTATTTGTGATCAGCTCCTGAGTGGGCTAGGGGCTCATTTTTGTTTCACATTTTTTTTTTTATCCTCCATCACGCCAGCCCAAACATGTTCACATGAAGCTGGACATGATTTCTCACCTTAAATAGTCTTGAGTGCTTTTTAGTCATGCTTTTATTCCTATTTCTCCATGAAATTTTTCTCATCAAGGTCACTAATGATTCAATGCTGAAAAGTAAAACGATCAGATCTTAATTCTTATCTTACCTGGCTTATCAGGGGTTGCTCAAGCATTTCTCTTTAAAACACTTTTACAAACTTTTGCTTCTGAGACATCATACTTGACTCCAATTCCTAATACATTTCTGAGTGGACCACAGAAGTCTCTTTTGCTGGTACACCTCATGATTACATTTCTAAATATGGATGTGCCACATGCCTCATTCTTCAAGCTGTTTTGCTTTTTTAAGAATATACATCAAGTTTTTGTCATCTCATCCTCTCAAGACATGGAAAATCCTATATCTAATGACTTCCAAAAGTGTATCTACAACCAGGCTTCTCCCCTAGGCTTTAGACTTATATCTAAATACCTACCCAACACGACAACTGGAACATCTAAGAGGGATCTCACACTTATCATTCCAAAATTGAACTTCTTATATTCCCATCACCCACGTGTATTCCTCTTGCAGTTTTTTCTATATTCTAAACGGTAACATCACTTTTTCTGTTTCTCAAACTAAAAACCTTGGAGTTCACCATGACTTCTCTCTTTCTCTCATAATGCATATCAAATTTATCACTATATCCTGCGTTGCTGTCTTCAAAATATGTCAAAAAATGTCACAACTCCTTTCTATCTCTACTCCTACAATCTTGGCAAAGTTGCCATAATCTTCTCCTGAATTATAGCAACAACTTTTAAAATGACTATACTTAGTCTATCTTTGTGCCACCCTTGCTTTAGTTTATTTGTAGAGCGGCCAGAGTAACTAAAATATAATCTATACCATATCACTTCTCTTTTAAACTCTTACGATGGCTTCTCCGCTCATCATAAGTAACAGTCCACTTTAGGATGAAAAAACATAATGTTAGAAGGAACAAATCTTACACATAATGTAAAAAATTGTAAAACTTTATAGAAACTCATAAAAGGGTTGTTAAATACATTTTGGAATATGTAGATCTAGTTTATGTTTATAAATAGAAAAATTTTCTAATACAAAATAAAAATTATCCAAAACTTGATCTGCTACTCCAGTCAAATTGCAAATTGCCAAAAATAACCAGCTCCTGAAAAACAAAAACTAGTATCATATGACAAGAACTATTATAAATTCGTATCACTAAAATACTCTATTATTAGCACAATGGTATGACATTGACCAATGGAAGAAGGGAGAGATTAGAAATAAAGTGATGCACATACAAAAATCAGTATGACAATTTATATTGTTTTCCAACAAGAAAGGTGCATGTTCATCCACACATACATATCAATTTTAGGTGGATTTTGGATTCACGTATGAAAAGTAAAAATTTAAAATTCTTAGAAGAAGATGTAATAGGCAACCTTGATAAGTTTTAAAATGAGTTTTTTAAACAAAAAAAATTAAAAAGCACAAAAGCCACAAAGAAAATTATGATGAATTGAACTCGATTAAAATTATAAACTTTTATTCATCAAAATGATCATAAAGACAACCAGGAAAGATATTTTCAATAGATAAAACAGAGAATTAGTCAATATAACATATAAAGTTCTCCCACAAATAAATATAGAATAGATGAAAGAATTAGAAACAGAAAAATGCCAACAGTCATAAAGATGCATTTTACTGAGAGGAAAGATGGTTTGCCAAGAAATATATAAAAAGACACTAATCTTCCTTTGCAGGAAAATGATCAAATACCCTCTCACACTAATGAAACAATTATACTAAATATAGATGAGTATGTTTATCAATAGTCATTCTTATATTTTTTGACAGGGTTATAAACTGATACAATCTATTTGAAAAAATATTTGATATTATCAATAGAACTAGAATCCTCTCTTAGATATTGTAGCTAGAGAAGAGAGGAGGCTTGTGGACATTATCTTCTCAAGATTGACCAGAGGAGGGACTTAATAAAATAATACTGTGTATGCTCAGTATAATTCAGTCCAATTTATTATTAGAACAATAGCACCGGCTATGGTAGATAATACTTACATAAACCCAGAGAAATAACTTGCACATACAGTTTTAAAATTTTGGAAGACCTAGATCTATTTGACAGGTCTGATTTGCATAGAATCACAGAAGTAATGATGTTTCTTGTGGAGAAACATACAAAAAAGAATTTGGGTTTTGCTCAAGTCTCCTAGATGTAGTGTTTAGAAGTTTCTGAAATAAGGTGTATGTGACTGGAGTATGTATATCAACTAACCTGATTCCAAGTTGTATCAGATGACATGCAGCCTGCCTCATGTTCCAAACAAACCCTTTAGGAAAGAGAAGCCACTCTAAGGTCTGATGATTGATTCAGCAGAAGTTGATTTGTTTGTTGTTGTTTAGTTAATTAAAACAAAATCCCTACTTTAAGATACCTTCCAATTACTTTTAATACGTTTTATCTCAAGGAAAAGCCCCAAAACATCTGAAAGGAGGCAGCAATTTTAGAACAAGTACAATCGCAAGCCTCAGTATTCTCTAAAAAGTTATTATGTATGTGTTTATTTTGGTTTTACTAAGGCATTATTTTGGGTTTTTTTCATGAGTCATTATATAATGAACAAGATATTACTTTCAACACTTTTCCAAATTAAAAATATTGTCACTGAAATACTTGAACAACTATGACGAGTTACCAAATTTACTAAATTATACTTTTACAAATAAAATTAGACAACAGTTTGAAATTAAATACCCAACTTCCTTATAACCACTAAGTTAGTCTTAAATTGGTTATTTTAAAATGAACATCAGAAAATAACATTTGTACTAGTATTATATATTTGCACATTTTAGAAGCTCTGAAATTCTAAACTTTCCTGTGTTTACAAAAACCACTATTTCATTTTGCCCTTTACAACTTAAAATGCACTGGAAAAATCTGAAGTCCTATGTGTATTAATGTCTGAAGTCTAAAGTCTTGTATGTATTTTTTCAAACACTTATATAACAGATAATATTAAATATATATAACCAAGAGTAACCCCCTATCCATTTTTATTGCTTTTAGTAAAATAAATTTTCTCCATTAGCATATGAGGTTTCTGAATTTTCAATTACACTTTTTGTCATTACTGCCCTTTGTTTTAGTCTTGCTTTTTGGAATGCATTTTTGAGACACAAAAACGTTATATTTTCACGTCTTTCAAAAGTGTTCCTATGTAACTAGGATGGTGCTGATAGAAGGCTCATGTACAAAGAAAAATCAATCTACTTTTAATTATGATGTCTGAAGGGTTAAAATCTGTCAATAGTTTCTATGATAAGTAGTTTATAATTAAAATATAGTTTATGGAAGAAGAAAAGGATTTAGAGATTTTGAAGCATATCAAAATTTTTGAATTATTTCCGGGAAGTAACTCTTAATCACAAAAACAATCATAAAAATAATTCTGACTTTAATTTTGCTCTAGGAATTATGTCCTTTACAGCATATTTGAAAGGGTTGAATTCTAATGCTTATAACTCAAAATGCATTAACAAAAGGCAAAGAATTATCTCTAAAGCTTATTGCACCATAATGTTTTCCTGGGTTGTTGACAATATGTTCTGGTGAAAAGATTCATTTGTTTATGCTCCAAAGACTGATCATTCAAGTTAATTAAGCATGAAGCAGAAAACATCTTTGGAGCGCTTGTCTCTAGAACCTCTTTCACTTCTTTTGTGGTGATTCACAGTATATCCTGTTTTTGACAGTCGCTAGGTTGCTGATAACTAAATAGGTTTTCAAGTTTGAGAAGTTTATTGAGCATCTTGTCTCATGAGGCCAAAGTACCTACCTACTAAAGCTACCAGGCTGCTGTTGGTACAATGGAAACAAAAATTAGCAAATGAGGAGAGCAAGAGCAGAGGGGGAGAGTGGTTATAGGATTCTGTATTTTAATTGGGGAAGGCTGTCTAGAGAAATATTCTCCCTAATCTTTGCTGTCAGAGAATCTGTCATCACACCATGGACCAGATGGACTCCACCAACGTTTCTGTGATTCTAAGATTCCTAGCAGTAACCTTGAAAACTGCACAAACACTACTAGTTAACATCTGTGAGCAAAAACCCATACAGCCAAAACCTTTAATTAATTAATATGCCATTTGAGGTCCGAAGCCACAGACAGAAATATCTGAAGCTTTGACAGGGTCTTTAAAATGCTGTAATAATTAAATCATGCACATATCATAATAGAAGTTTCATACTCTGTCAGTGACAGAAAGCCTCCCTTTTTATAAGTCCCTTTTATACTGCAGACACTTACTTATCTTGATTTTCCAAAGGAAATGTATTTTCCAAGTTAACACAGGGACAGAGTCTATTCTACAGACTAACAAATACATATATTTTCAGATTTAAACATAGTTATTTATGAGATTCTTTCTCTTCCCTTGTACCTAAAAGGTAAATATTACTTTTTACTCTGAAAATGATTGAGTAGTTGAGTCTGGTATAGCTTGAAATGTCAAACAACCCCACTGTGAATTTTTGGAAGTCTGTGTATACTTTTTCTAGATGTTAAATTTTCAAATATATTGCATTCAATGTTCAATTAGCTTTAAAATCAAATGAACATGTAGATCATAACAGTTAACTTATAATAATATAATTTCAATCCTTTATAGTTCAGTCAATAAAATATATGTTCACTGCCAGAAAACCTGTGTGACTCTTATAACCAGTCCTGACTTTTTTCCTCTTAGGCATGTCTATAGTCAGAAAAATGATAGTACTATTGTTTCCTGAATTTGAAAATGGAAAATCAAGTAATTCAGTTCAAAATTATTTTCAAAATATTTCAAAAGTATTTCCACAATGATTTATAGGTCTATGTTTCTTTATAGCCAAGGCAATTGTAAAACAATCATAAAAATAATTCTGATTTTAATTTTGCTCTGGGAATTGAGTCATTTTTAGCATATTTGGAAGGGATGAATTCTAATGTTTGTAATTCAATTTGTGAAGAACTTTCTTTACTTGACTTTCGGTTGAATATTTTTCTTTATGATATTTTTCCTGTATCTTCTCCTTAATATATTCCTAATAATAATAATAATGACAAAACTACCAAATTCCAAATTTTAACAACAGTTTGATAAACTTCCCACTGACATAAGCAAAATATTCTTTTTCAGTTATTTAACCTCAACAGTAACAAAATATTCCCGGCTCTAATGTGTTTTTAAATATATGTCTTCACGTGAGCTTTAACATACAAAAAATATTCATGCATGTAAGTTTCTACTTAGACATGCTTATAGACTTTCTTAACTTATATTATTATTAAGTGGCTTTTAAATATTTAAACTATCCATTCCTTTTCCTATACTTCAGTGACTGTAGTCAATAGAAAGTCTCTAGAACATGTGGAGAAGCCCCCATGCCCCAGGCACACTTAAAATTGCTATGTAATACATGCGTATTTTATTATTTATTATGTCTACTACTTTATTCAGACCTATTTACTTTATTCAGGCCTATACTTTTGAGACTATATGAATTGTCTCCTATTTTGAGCAGAAGGGAGAGATGGAATTTTTTTTTCCTGTCTTTGGTACATGTTTGCTTGTGCAGGAATCAATGGCCTGCAGCTATTTATATGCTTTCATCCCTTATTTTGGTTATTTTTCTCAAAGCATTGGGGAAGATAAAAGGATTGAATAATTTGCCTTGGTGCCAAACCTCATTGACTGACCCTTAAAAATGCGTTGAAATTGAAAATCCTTCTAACCAAACTGAAACAGTATTTGAAAGGGAGTGAATATGGCATTGGTTTTTGTACCTGGAAATTGAGCTTTATGGCCATTTATTAATTTTACCTTTTCCATAATCCCATGAGAAGGAAGGATAGAAAACTGCAATTTCTAGAGCCACAATCAGACAATAAACGAACCGATCCATGTACAGTTTCATATTTTCATTCTGAGGTTGAAAGAATGGAAATGAAACAAATGGTTTAAAATTCTAAGAGAAAAATGGAAACTTAGTGATGGGAATCCAGAAGGATTTTATAGAAATTTGTGATTGACCTAAGACATTCAAGGGGAAAACGAACCTTGGATACTCTCTGTATCAGTGACTCTTAACTCTAGCTATTCATTAGAAAAAGCCTTGGGAACTTTTATAATATACCAATGCTCAGACACCATATCCCAGAGAATCTGGTAGAATTTATTTGGAGTGTGGCATAGGCATAGGTATTTTGTTCAAAGCTCATAGGTGATTCTACCTTACAGTCAGGATTGAGAATCATTAATCTAAATCAGAGAATAGGAATTATCTTAGGATCTTATAAAAACGAAGAATCTGACTCAGCAGGTCTGGGCGAGACTGACAGCCTAACAAGCTCCCACATGAGGTGACTGCTGCTGCCACTGCTACACATTTGACTAGCAAAGGTGCCACAGTACTGCTCTATGAGTTTTCATCTGTCCTCCAGAGAAGGTGCTATAGCAGGTGCTCAGCTTTGGTGAGTGCTCCCATCAGCTTGTGCATTTTTCACTGGAATTTTAAGAATGTTTCTTTTTAAATTTTACAAATGGACACTTTTAACATTTATCCCTCAAAGTATCAGTGTATCATTCAGACACATATTTTTAAAATAATTTATTAACTGATATGTGTTATTTGTTGGGTTCCTCAAGAAGAAGACAATGAGACTAAAATTAACCTATGGGAAATAGTAAAGGTTGTTCTTGGGAAAAAAAGAGCTGTGGAAAGAGAGGAAAGGAGAAAGTAGAAGTGGGCAGGGGTGAAGGTGGTCAGTGATGCAGTGTCAACAAAGGAGGCCTCTGTCAATCCCATGCCCTTCTCACTTGTTCCATGTTGGTACAAGGGGAGGGGAGATTATCCCCCAGCATTGAATAGTCATTGCATATTGGCTGCCCAGGTCAGAAATACGACTTTCTGTGAGGTGGCCACCGAGTGCTGTCTGACGGCAGTAGCACTACCAGAAGCTAAGAGAATAAGTCATTCAATCCTACAGGAGGATCTGGGCAGTGCAGCACAGAATCCACTAACGTCTAGTCCTCGTGCTGCTTGAGTATTCTTATAAACTGTTTCCTAATTTCTATAAAAGCTTCCTAATTTCAAATTCTTTGGAATGTAAATGAATGGCTGGCATCATATTTTTATCTGCCTTTGAAATACAAGAACACACTTCTGGGAGAGAAGTTTCTCAATCTCTCCTGAGGTCCTTAACTATTTATTCAGTCATCCAATTTCTATACTTGTCCTTTAACTTAAATCCAGGTATAGAAAAACTAAAAACAAAAACAAAATATTTACAGTAGAGCTTATCTTTGGAGGAAGGGAAAGACAGATATGAATGTGAGAGGATGCAGTTCATGCAAGGTTGAGATAGGCTACTTTTATTAAGGGAAACTTATATAAGAGGATGATCAGTGGGACAAACGACAGCTGTCATTGCTGCAGCTGCTATCAGAACCATCATGACTGGCACTCATGATCTTTGTTTTCCATTTTAGATTCTTCTCTCCCTCAAAAAGCACCTCTGCAGATCTCCATGGCTTGCGGGGTGCATAGTCCTTCATTCTGGAGTGATCTGCGCCCTGGATATTTTATGTACTTCTCAGGTTGTGGCTGCTATACACATGTATTTCCTATTAAAATTGTATGAGGAATTATCAAGAAGTGCCCAAGTGGATGAACAAGGTGCCTCATTCTTCACTATTGTATAGCAGCATCCCTACCTTCTGATCATGAGTCAATTAATGCAGCCAGGATAATGACCCTTTTTCTCATCTTCTGGTCTGCAAACACGAGGAGCCCCAACTTTCACACAGGTGTCATAGCTTATAATTCAGTGAAGATTTTTCTGTGTTCATGGTGAATCTCGTGAGTACTTTTAGGAAATAGGAATTCTAAAGCCTCAGAGCCCACAGAATATATAATACAAAGAATATGTATTCCACTGCTGCTGATGGTTAGTTTTTGATATCTATGTTTATTTATTTTGCCCCGAAAATAAACATGAAGCTTCTGGACTGGGGGAAGACTATTATTACAGTAGTAAGCACATTGGTTTCCTGTACCCTATTTCTCCCCTTCAAAGTGATGCAATGAGAGCCAGGTCTGCAAGTGTATAAAAGAAGATTTTTGTACCAAAGGCGAGGAATCCCAAAATTACAATTCTGGGAGCTTATGTGGGCTATAAACTGCCCAGCTGCTACCTTCTCCTCCAGAGATTGGGGATAATTTTATCTACTTCATGTAAACAAATCTTCTCTGGGAAGAGAAGAGGAAGTTTCCTAATTTCAAATTCTTTGGAATGTAAATGAATGACTGGCATCATATTTTTATCTGCCTTTGAAATATAAGAACACACTTCTGGGAGAGAAGTTTCTCAATCTCTCCTGAGGTCCTTAACTATTTATTCAGTCATCCAATTTCTATACTTGTCCTTTAACTTAAATCCAGGTATAGAAAAACTAAAAACAAAAACAAAATATTTACAGTAGAGCTTATCTTTGGAGTAAGGGAAAGACAGATATGAATGTGAGAGGATGCATGAGGGCTTCAAAACATTAGTTATAACCTATTTCTTAAGCTGGGCACACAAGTTTCATTTCACTTTTATAGCTTCTATACAGTTTAAAATGTATGTTGTATGTTGATGAAATATTATAAAATAAGTGGTTAATTTATAATTTAAGAAGACAATATCAGGACTAATTCTCCATGACTCATGTTGGTGTTTACTTTAGCAACCAGCAGAAATCTTGCTCACTAAGAGTGGGTGTCACACTCCTAACTTGACATAAATCTTCCACAGCTTGCCAATGCTTTCCACTAATTCCTCTGGAACCTATGGTCAGTTATCCTCATTTTAGCATTTATTATCCTCACTACTCTTCATCTAGATGCCTCAGTTTAGGAATCAACAAACAGCCCACAAGCAAAATCTATCCTGTTGCCTGTTTTGTACAAAAAGTTTTATTGAAACACTCATTTATTTACTTAATATCTATGGCTGCTTTTCTACTTCAAGAACAGAGTTGAGTAGTTTTGACAGAGACCACCTGGCCCACAAAGCCTGAAATATGTGCTATCCGGCTCTCTACAGAAACAGTTTGCCAATTCCTGGCTTATCTGAAACCTCACATTTCCTCAGGCCACAACCTCCACCTAGCTCTTTCAAGAAAAGGCTGTTTTTTATTTCCTTTGCATGTACCTCACAACTAGAGACAACAAAGGGGGTGTTGCTAACACTTCTAAACTATGTTTCCTTCCTTTGTTTTTCTAAAAACCAAAACATGAAGCACATGCCATTGCACTATGCACTCTTTTTGATGGCCATCACTCTTAAAGACCTCCCTGTCACTCTTCCTTACTCACCTCACCCGTGAGTCTAGCACCTGGATTGCTGTCAGCCAGTCCCACCCATGATTGTAAATTTGACCATGCCATCATTGATAACCCCATTAACTCACTTTGTATTCAGCTTAGATTTAACATTGCTGGCTTTGACCATGCCATCCCATCCTTTCATTTAATTTATCCCACAGCCCACATTCTAACACATCCAGTTCACTTTTCCATCCTCCATTATCCACTTATTCGCATTTGGGAATCTTGTTAAAAATGCAGCTTCTGATTTAGGGAGTTCTGAGTATTTTTTTTTTTTCTAACCATCTCCCAGGAATGCCAGTGTTGCTGGTCCTCAGATCACAGTAGTAAAGCCCTAGATTTCATGGTCTATTATTTTAATAGAAGTTATGGGGGGAATCTGATCAGTGGAAGGTGGTAAGCATGACTTATTCCTGAGTGTGTAAAAGTGTTTCTCTGTTCTTAGGCCATTTGTGTCTGCTAATCAGTGCCTAATTAGCACACCACTGCACACAGTCAGGCAGAAACTGGGGCAAATTCTCCCTTTCTCTGCCATTTGTTCTGTTCCAGCCCTCAATAGATTGATGATGCTCATCCACATAAGTGAAGGCAGTTAGTTTCATTGAGTCCACCAATTCAAATGCTAATGTCATGTGGAAACACCCTCACACACACACCCAGAAATCCTGTTTAGCCAGTCTGCTAATTGATGTTAGATTCCTACTCTCTTACAGAGACTGGAAGATGAGGGCATTATCTTCTTAATGATTACATTTCAAAGGGATGGCTTCCACGTCTTTAAGAAAGTCATTCTTAGGTTGTAAACCTGTCAAGACATTTAAAATGATTTACATCTTAAAAGTTTTCTAAAGTAAATGCTCTAAGAAAAGGGAGATCAGGAGCCTAGAGTCAGGAAGAAGCTTGTCAGTTGAGCTGTGGAAAACTTTATGGCCATCTTGGTCAAATGTCTCATATTTATCACTGCTTCCTAATCTCTCCCCTATATATCTAAATCTCTCCCTTATCCTCCTTCCTGCACATGCATTATTTTTTTATCTCCACTTTAATATGTAGTAGGCCTTTCATACTTATTATGTCCAGTATTGTCTTATGTCCTCACCAATCCTATGCTATGAAAATCTACTTTTGTCTCAGTATTCCTCATCATCAGCAAATGTTACCATCATCCACACCAAATGCTCAACCAGAATCCTAGGAGTAATCATTTTTTCCTCTCTTTCCCTAAACCCTCATACCAAATTCAGCAGCAAGTCCTATTTGTGTCTATCTCAAAAATATATTTCTTATCCATCCACTTATCCTCATTTCTACTGCTACCGTGGATATATAAGTAACACAGGCCATTGCCATACTCTGCTAAACAGTTTTACAAGAATTGTTTAAAGTCTTTCAAACTGAGTGGTTATTTCAATATGGTATTCTGAGCTGAGATACTTGCATACAGGGTTATTTATAATCTTGCCTTTATGAAACACTTATAAAATATTAGCATTTCCAATAGTGCGGTTAACTTAATGATGCTGAGCTTTCCTAACATTATTTAAATAATCTTGTTATAGGAAAGGGGTATCGATCCAGACCCCAAGAGAGGGTTATTGGCTCTCACGCCAGAAGGAATTCAGGGTGAGTCCACAGTGCAAAGCGAAAGCAAGTTTATTCAGAAAGTAAAGGAATAAAAGAATCGCTACTCCATAGACAGAGCAGCCCCAAGGGCTGCTGGTTCCTCTTTTTTTATGGTTATTTCTTGATGATATGCTAAACAAGGGGTGGATTATTCATGCCTCCCATTTTTAGACCATATAGGGTAACTTCCTGACATTGCCATGGCATTTGTAAACTGTCATGGTGCTGGTGGGAGTGTAGCAGTGAGGATGACCAGAGGTCACTCTCGTCACCATTTTGGTTTTGGTGGGTTTTGGCCCACACCTTTACTGCAACCTGTTTTATCAGCAAGGTCTTTATGACCTGTATTTTGTGCTGACCTCCTGTCTCATACTGTGACTTAGAATGCCTTAACCATCTGGGAATGCAGCCCAATAGGTTTCAGCCTCATTTTACCCAGCTCCTATTTAAGATGGAGTTGCTCTGGTTCACACACCTGTGACATTCTCCAATATTTGATATCATATGACAAATTTTTATTTTCACTATAAGAATGAGTTTCAGTGCATTTGTATTAATTATTCCTGCAAGTAGTGGATAAACATGATTTATATATTTTTAAATAAAATAGCTCCTTCATTAATAAATTTATGTTTGTCTCAAAAGTCAATGCTTTCTGAGTCTAATAAAGGTTACTTCAACTTTGTCTATGAACCTTTTTTAAATAGAGGACTAAAATCTAGATTTCATTATGTGAAAGACATTATAACCCAAAGTAGCAGTATGTGATTACCAGCCAAAAGTCATTACATCCAGAATTTCTTCTTAAAAAGTAAAAAAGATTAGTTAATACAAAAATTTTATTATCAGCTTTTGACATAGATTGTTGACATATCTTATTGAAAGATAAATACTGTCCAGAAATCAACCTATTTCAAGTAATAATTTGACACCATTCCCATCATTTTTACTAGAATAAATTATTGTCTTAGTCCATTTGCATTGCTATAACAAAGTAACATAAAATATGTGGTTTTAAAATAAGAGAAATTTATTTTTTATAGTTCCAGAGGCTGAGAAGTTCAAGATGAAGGTGCCAGCAGATTCAGTGTATGGCAAAGCCTGACCTCTTGCTTTATAGATGGCTGTCTTCTCCACATTCTCACATGGCCAAAGAGGCAAGGTACTCTCTTATAAGGGATATAATAACTTGAGAAGACTTCAAGAAAATAAACTCTATCCAATGTCTTTTTCCAATACCTGCTATCAACATTTGACCATTTATCAAGAACATTTTGGTGAATAGACATAAATAAAAGATAAAAAAAAATGCTTTCACATATCGTTTAAGCAAAAAAACTAAACCAAACCAAAACAAAAACAAAGAAACCAAACAAAACAAAAAATAAAAAGAATGTCCAGGTTCTTTTTGCAATATTTTGTACAACGATGTCATTTTAGTTGAATGACTAACTAGATAAAAATGTTGTCTTTTCCTTTTTTCTTTAGAAATATATTATTTACTTGACATTTCTTTAATTAAAATAACTTATCCAGGATATCATTGTGTAAGACTTGTAGTTGATACTGGCTTATATGATCTATTTTACTATTATTATTAGAATCTGGAGAATTGCTATCTGTATATCTATCTATATATATTTTACATATATTTATATATACACATATCTATAAAATAAATCTATATTCATATGCTTATAGATACATGTATGGGAAATAAATCTTATATATGCATATATATATAATGAGATTTATTATAGAAACTGGTTCACATGACCATGGAGGCTAAGAAATCTCACAATCTGCCACCAGCAAGCTGGAAAGCAAGAAAGCTGGTAGTATAGTTTGAAGCCATGAGAGCTGGACAGTTGATGGTATAAATCCCAGTCAGTCTGAAGGTCTGAGTACCAGGAGCTTTGAGGGCAAGAGAAAAAGATGGATGTCCCAGCTCACATTTGCCTGAAACTGGGGCAAATTCTCCCTTTCTCTGCCATTTGTTCTGTTCAAGCCCTCAATAGATTGATGATGCTCATCCACATAGGTGAAGGCAGTCAGTTTCATTGAGTGAATTCAAATTCACCCACTTCAAATGCTAACCTCATGTGGAAACACCGTCACATACACATACCCAGAAATACTGTTTAGTCAGTTTGGGCATCCCTGATCTAGTCAGGTAGACACACAAAATTAACCATCACAGGAGATAATGAGTAGGTTAAGAAAAATCAACAGGAAGCAATTTGGCATAAAAGCTTTGATTCCACAACACAGCCAGCGTGGCTTGGGGTACAATGTTGGGGAGTATGGAAAGTATCTCTCTGTAACTGTTTTCTCGTGTGATATACACCGGAAGAAAAGAGGCATGTATAAATTTTGAAAACAGAATAAGCTATTAATAAATTCTGTAACACTTTATGGCCCTAAACAACATCTCTAATAAAGTAATGCAAACTACAGATGCAGTTATTCTCTCACCTGCCAAAGCCATCAGAGCATCATGAAAGTTGAGTATTTCAATAAGCACCTAGAGAAATCAGCAGAATGCAAACGTTCACGGTAGATCTTCAGCTCATAAAGCATGAAATATCAAACACTAAGCAATATCAGCTTATTAGAAGTGAGAGTACCTCAGTATTTAAATATATTTGTAAGTACAAATATGTATCCTATTTTTTTTATTTTTTAAATTTTCTTTAAAAACTTGGCATTAAAAAAATTCCAAATTTTTCGAGTATGTTTTATTTTCTATGACCACATTTTCCAGAGATATGCTGGCTTTACTCTTCTAATTTTTCTTTCAGAGGACCAGTTATTAGTTATTCATTAATTCTGCTTTTTTAAATCAATGTGTAATTTTATATTTATTTCATCCCAATTTCTTAAGTTTTCATAAGGTTTGGTTCTTTTAAAATATTTCAGTGATTAATTTAATTGCTCTCATCCTTTAGCAAAATATAGTTTAAAAGGCAGAAATTTCTGTGAGTAATATTTGGGCTGCATTGTGTATGAGTTTCAATGTACAGTGCAATTGCCTTTATTATTTTCTAAAAAAAATTAAGTAAATTTTATTTTAATCAAGTATATATAATGGAAACAAAGTACTATTTAAAATTTATTATTTTAAATTAAAAACAGGTAGATCATATAATCAATGGACACAAAAAGGACTGTCATTCAGTGCTGTCTACCCCAGGGCTATATAGTCCATTCTTTGATTCTTTTCATTTTCCTGTTATTACAATTTATGAGTGGTTTTATTACTTTGGCAATCCAGTGCAATTCCTGTCTTAATATACATTAAAGACTACCTAATAACTTTAAATCCAATTAGTTCTTTTCAAATGTTTGAAAATTATATCAGAAACTAGTAGCAAATTTATGCAAGAAGGCTAAATTATTTAAATGTTATCTCTAATAGATGCAAGCTAGTATTAAATTTAAATATGTTAAAATATAATATATTATCATCTGTAATACTTCCCATGTTGATTCATTTGGAGAGATGTTTTTAACGAATCACTGGAATTGATTAGAAAATGTCCATCTATTTAGGTGGAACATTTGTGTTTAGGGAGACATAATAGATGATCTATTCTACCACAAAGTAAGTCAGAAAGATTCTCTTCTGCATTGTCTTTTTCTGAGTATGGGGCTAATGCAATTTTCCAATGTTCTGCTGTGTATACTAGTGATTAGTCATTTATTATTTTAGGTACAGACCGGGGATTATAACAAGAGCACAGTTATATAAACAGTATACAAAGATGATGTAACTTTAAGTCGGTCACAAGGATTAATATCACTAATTTTAACAGTACTAATAAAGTGAACTATCAAAATATTTAAGATATGTAAAGTAATAAAAATATTTTAGTGTAAAGCAATATGAATAAAATATCTTTTTAAAAGTACATGTCTGATTGTTGAGAAATCTTTAACATTGTACATTCAATATTAATATCCTAGATAAATTAATTTATAGCCATTAATAGCATAGTTAGTAAAAACATGTCACGTGTCATGGTTACCTTAAGTTTTCAAGATAAAATCTTCGAATGCAAAAGGTTTAATTAAACTCGTTCATAGATATTGTATCATATGGCATTAAATTCATTTTTAAAAGGGAGGTAGATAAATTTCCTCTGAAATACCTTACAAAATATTCTTGATGTGGAACAAAATCCAAACAGAATGTTTCAAAGTTAAAAAAAGCTAATTACTGCTCCCTTTTAAGTCTTTTTTGAAAATATCTTTTAAAGCTTGCCAGACAAGCAGCAACTTGCCCAAAAGGGAAATGCAGAAATTATTCATAAAGTCACATTTTACATCTAGGAACATTTCCTGGAAATTAAAAGCTGTTTGGAGAAATTAAAAGGCTTTGGGGAAATGGGCAATGAATTGTAAACATTTTAGATTATGGAGTGAGATGTAATGTCACTTTCCATTTTAAACGAGGAAATAGTTTTAGAAAAGGTTTGAAAGAGACTGATCAAGATATACCAAATAAATATTTTTTTTTTTTTTTTTTTTGAGACAGAGTCTCGCTCTGTCGCCCAGGCTGGAGTGCAGCGGCGCCACTGCAAGCTCCACCTCCCGGGTTCACGCCATTCTCCTGCCTCAGCCTCCCGTGTAGCTGGGACTACAGGCGCCTGCCACCATGCCCGGCTAATTTTTTGTATTTTTAGTAGAGACGGGGTTTCACCTTGTTAGCCAGGATGGTCTCCATCTCCTGACCTTGTGATCTGCCCGCCTCAGCCTCCCAAAGTGCTGGGATTACAGGCTTGAGCCACCGCGCCCAGCCAAATTTAAATAAATGTTTGTATTTGTGTCTATTTTCATGTTTATATTCATATTTAGGGCAAAATAATTTCCTCATTGAAAAACAAGAAAGGTAAAATTATAAATCTAGAAACTAAATAACTCCTGAAGCCATGAGGTCAGATTGATAAAAGCAATAGAAACCCATAGAAAAACATATTCAGGTATTCAGAGGGCAATGAAGGGAGAGGACTGTAATGGGAGTATCTACCTGCAGAAAACAGCTGTAAAACCTCAGCATAACATACGAATCAGCACCTTGAAGTCCATGAAGAATGAACAGAAGCAACAGACTCTGGTGGGCAGTTCATTCTTGGAGATGGGGGAAAGTATGATGCAAGTTTTCATTTTCTGTGGCTTCAGTTAGGAAAGGCATAACAGGACATAAATAGCTGTAGAATTTTTTTTGAAAACGATTTTATTTCTTTTGGAACACATTTTTAATTCATAGGGGGAAGACAACAAAGACTGTCAACTTTAGGGCACTAGGAAAAAACAACTGCAATAAGGAGAAGGAACCAGAAAACACTAACACCTGGGGAGAGGGAGGAAAACATCTTGAGCCAAAGGCTGCAGCTGAAGCACGGCAGGAGAAATTGTGAAGGCCACAATCTTAATATTTAGAAACACAGAAACTGCCTAAGATTAAGGCATAATAATAAATTATCAGAAAACACCTCCACCATGCTCTTTATGACTGGGATAATGAATACAGAAGCAAATCTCATGGAGGTACAGTACAAAAGGAAGACTGAAAGTTGAAGACGGAGCTGGTACTGAGAAATTGTAAATTGGTCCCCACTCTAAACAATCCTCAAGCCAACTAGCCCCCATCCTAAACCAAAGGTTTTGCCAGAGGAATTTGAAGTCTGTGATGCACTGTGGGTAACTATAGCAACAAATTTCAAGCCCAGTCCAACCTCTGACTATAGTAATTCAGACACCTATACTGAAGGCCTAGCAAAAGGAAATATATCTATTTAACTATATCTAGTAAAAACAAAATGTCTTTCCAAAAAAAGAAGTAAAGTCTTTCTCAAACAAAAATGGAAAGAATTCATTTCCAGCCTACACTATAAGAAATATTAAACGAAGTTCTTTGGATGAAAGACAACAATGTAGACAGCAGTACAGATCTGCACAGTAAAAAGAATACTAGCATAAATAATAGTTTAAAATTCTTTACTTATTTCTTGTTTTTCATTGCTTTAGAAGATAACTGATATGTAAGTTAAAAATAGTATAAAGTAAATGTACATTTATAGCATATGTAAAAGTAAAATATATGCCAACCACAATACAAAGATGGGAGAGCGAAATTAGGAATATACCATTGTGAAGTACTTATATGTGAAATATCATATTATTTGAAGATGCAGTGGTTAATCAAAGATGTTTATTGTATAACATAGGGCAACCATTATGATTTTTTAAATGTTGTAATTACTAACTTGATCTAATTGACATTTAAAGAATACCCAAAAATTGCAGATATACATTTTTTTTCAAGTGCAGATGAAGCAATCACCAAGATATGCTCTATTCTGGGTCATAAAACAATTCTTAACAGATGTACAAGAATAGAAATTCAACAAAGTGTGTTTCCAATAACATACTTAAACTAGATGTCAATTACAAAAGAAAAGCTATTTGAAAAAATCCCCTGAAAACCTGGAAGTTAAACACCATACTTCTGAATAACCTATGCATGAAAGAAGAAATATTAAATGCAACTCTATGTTTAACTGAGTGTAAATGAAAATACAACAGATCAAAATGATTGGAATGCCACTAGAGGTATGCTTAGAGAAAAATGTACAGCACTAAGTGTTTATTTTAGAAAAGAAGAAAAGTCTTAAATCAGTAATCTATGCTTCCATGATAAGAAATTTAAGAAAATAAACCCAAATAAAGCAAAAACATCAACAATTATACAGATAAAAACAGAAACCAAGGTAGGGTGATATTAATGAAAAGATGAACACATCAATCAATAGAGTAGAACAGAAAGCCCAGAATAGACCTCCACTGTCAACTGATATTTTTTTCTAGGTGCAAAGGCAAGTGAATGGTTAAAGGATACATCTTTAAAAGAAATGCTGCTTGAAAATTTGAACATCCATACACAAAACTGTGTACCTCAATTCATCTTATACCTTATCTAAAAAATAATTTAAAATGTATTACAACATTTAAATGCAAACCACAAAGTTATAAAACATCTAGAAAAAGATTATAATGAGAATATTTGTGATCTTGGATTTGGACCCAAAGAGTTTTTAGATAGGACACTGAGAGCATGACTCATAAATGAAAATATAAATTGTACTTTCTGTCTGGAAAAGACATTGTTGAAAGACTGAAAAGATAGATACAGCTGGACAAAAATACTTGTTAAATGCATATATTTCTGTCACATGACTTGCATCCAGAAATTATAGGAAACTCTCACAAATCAACAATTGGAAAATAAATAAATTAAAAATGGAAAAGATCTAAACAGAAACCACCAAAGAAGATATATGGTGGCGAATAAACATTTGAAAAGAGTACTTAACTTCATTGGTTGTTAGAATGCAGATCAAAAATATGACATAACACTACACACTCTATAGAATGGTTAAAAAAAAACAATTAAAATAAACAGAGAGCATGAAGTGCTGAAAACCCCCAACTGAAATATTTATATATTCTTAGATGTAAAGTGGAACAACCACTTTCAAAAATGGTTTGGCCATTCTTCATGCAATTAATCAAACATTTATCATATTATCAAGCAACCCTACTCGTAGGCATTTACCCAAGAGAAAAGAAAACTTATATTCACACACACAAAAAACCTATATAGCACAGTTACTAGCCACTTCATACACTCCAAGAATTGGAAACAAGATATCTTTCAATCAGCAAATGAAAGAAGAAACTGGTATATCTATACAATGTAATACTAGTCAGCAACAAAAAAGAATAGCAATAAAAAATCATTGCTCTGTAGTCTTCCATGCCATGACTATATAATAATTCAATCATATAGTTAAGGAATGATAAAAGTATAGATGATTTCCAGTTTGAACTTTTACAAATAATGTTATTTTACGTACATACGTATCTTGAGAAGATGCAATAAGAAAGAGAGTTAGTGGATCCATGAATACATGTATCTTCAGTTTTATCAGATGATACCAAACTTTGCAAAGTGGTTATGCCAATTCCTCAAGGGCATGGAAGTTCCATTATTTCATATGCTCAGGAAACCTTCCTATTGTCAAACTAGTTCATTTTTCCAATATGATGGGCATATTGCTCCATGTAATATTTTTTATTTGCACATAATAATTGCTAATAAAGCAAAATACCATTCCATACATTAACATGTCATTTGAATTTTTCCCCTTTATTCACTTTCCTACTAGCTAGGTTTCCTTTTATTTTCTTAATTATTTGTAGGAGCATTTTTTTAGTGTTCTGGATACAAAGTATTGGTCAAACTCATTTTACAAATACCTTTTTTGATTTCATGACTTGTTTTATCACTTTCACAATAGTGTATAATCTCTTGATAAAAAGCTTTTAATTTTTTATGGTTAAATTTACCCATCTTTCTTTTCCTGTCAGTGCTTTTTACTTAAAAAATCTCTTCCCTGTCAAAATGTAATGAAAATTCTCCTATAATATTATCTTAAATTTTAGACTTTTGCTTTTCAGATCTAATAATCTACCTTTTGTATGGTGTCAAGTTGAAGCCCAATTACATTTTTCTACATGCATGGATTGCCAATTGTTTCAGCACAATTATACAAAAAGGGTATTTTATCCCACTGCTTTTTAATGCCCTGTCTCTCATAAGTCAATATCTGATTACCTATTACTTTGCTTTTAGGGCCTCTAGGTTTTCTTTGGTTTCTTTGTCAATTCCTGAGTCAAAGAGCACCTATCTAAATTATTATATTTTTATAATAAATCTTGCTATCTTCTAAGTTACTTCACTTTGTTTTGGTTTTGGGTTTTTATTGACAGTTTTTGTTTTTGTGGGGTTTTGTTATTTCTCTAGTCATGCAATTTTGTAGTTCACAAGTTGTTTTACTTGGAAAAAAATAAGTAATAATATAGCAATGCAGTATAGGACATAATTTTGTAACTCAAAGGTGAAGACACTCCATTTAATTTTGTTTCAACTCACGAGTGTGTTGTTGAAATGGAGAATTATGTAGGTTTGAGCTGAGCCTAACTCCAGTCTGGAAAGGGGACAGATAACAGCCAAAGTGATGCGCTTTGTTCCACTTAAAAAACAACTGGCTTTTATCTTGGGTAAAATAAAACTACCATATCAGAGTTGAGAAATCCTTTTTCATATTTCATGTAAGATTAGTTGAAAAGTCTTCTCTCAAAAGCCTTTATTGACCTAGAGAAATAAGACTTTGTTACCCCTGAAAGATTCTGAGTTCTTGAGATGGTGGTGTCTACAGACAGTTCAATCATTTGAAGACCAAGTGATGGGGAAAAGCTCAGAGAGTATCAGGACTATTAGTGGTCTCATTGGATTGATAAATAAATGAAAGCTAGTAAATCTTAGGATGATGGCAAGTATGCATGGTCTATTGACAATTATGCTGAGGATCTGTATGATAATAAAACAGCTGACAAAAGTTTCTGAAATACACAGCTATGAAGTCTTTATATAGCAACAGCTGATGAGATTCCGAGAGGACAGCAAGGAACAGAGAAGCAGATATTTCCTGCTCAGCATTGTCTCTTCTGGAAAAATAGCCCTGGGTAGTGAGGTTGGCCACAGAACAAGAGATTTACTACCATCTCAATATCAAATGATTCAGAAGCCACCTGCAGTGAAATGACTGTCAGAAATGCAGCTGGTTCTGAAAACTTTATTCTGAAATTGTTTTGTGCCTTATTGATACCTATCAAAAAACATACTGATATCTACATACTAGTAGTGTCAACAAAACGACTCCATTCATTTGACAACATAAATTTTGTGTCTACGATATTCTTAGAAAAACATTCTATAATCATTCCTACCAAGGAAGAGAAACAAGGAAGTAATGACATCTAGATTTCAATTAACCTTGAAGTTCATTATCATGAAAAATCAAGCCACTGATTTTAGTAAATGGTTTTAGAAGTCCTACAAAGTAATGTTTAATGGGGTTGGTCCTAGGTGCTTGCTAAAGTGTGTTTGTGTGTGTATTTGTATAAATCCTTTGGGATCTTGTTACTATTAGAGATTCTGTTGCAGTATTCTGAAACGGGACCTAATATTCGCCATTTCCAACAAGCCCCCAAGATGATGCTGAGACCAACTATTCTGTGATCTGTATTTGGAATTGCAAAAACCTAGAATACAGAATGTTTTTCAACAGTGGGTAAACCTCAGAAACACCTTATACATGCCCAGATTTCACCAAAGAAACTGCTACAGTAAATCTAAGGGCAAAAACAAGCTGTGACAAATGTAAGAAATACTGATAGCTTAAAACATACATCTGAAGGTTATCTCACTTTATATCATTACTGTAAAAAAAATCCTTAAATCTAGTCTAGAAAATCTACTTTAGCATATACTATGAATACATTTTAGCAAAATTTCTCAAAAACTGGGAAAATAAACATCATATATCAGAAAACCTATATTGATTTTCAAATGTTATGTATTTGAAAATTCATTTAGAAACAATATTAAATTGGAAAATCATGTTATCAAACTTCCCATCATTTTACCTCAGCAAGGATCACATAATATTTTGAAGACTACTATCTATTTGACAAAACATTATTAAATTTCAGTTCATTGAGGTATTATAAATGAATCTCTCCTCAATTTATGGCCACCTCTGAGTTGAGAAATAAAGTTGTTTTTCAGGTATAATTTATTCATTGATTTTATTTTATATTATTTGTACTTCAGAATATAAAATAGATACCTAACTAAACTGAGATTAGAAATGCCATTTCTTTAGCATAATACTACTTCAGGCAATAAAAGGAAAACAAAACAATTGCCAAGTCTAGGTGAATTCTTTCTTCTGATCACGATGATACCTTGTCATTTTGTATGCTATTGCTGTGGTAGAATTTTATTTTTAACTTTAAACTTTTTTTTCTACTTTTTCCTAAACCTTTTACTTTGTTAAACTGTTTATGTCATATATTTAAAAATTATTTTTTATCACTTTATAATTTAATTTTACTTTCATTTTTATATGTAGTCAGTCATCTATATCTATGGGTTCCACACCAATGAATTCAACCAATTGTGGATCAAAAAGTTTGAAAAAAAAATGCATCCGTATTGAATATGTAAGACTTTTTTGGTCATTATTCCCTAAACAATACAGTATAACAACGATTTACACAGCATTACATTGTATTACAAGATGATTTAAAGTATACAGGAGAATATGCATAGGTTATAAGCAAATATTACACCATTTTATATAAGGGACTTCAGCATCTGTGGATTTTGGTACCCGCAGGAGGTCCTGAAACCAATTCCCCATGGACACTGAAGACTGACTGCATATGTGTGTGTATGTGTGTGTGTGTATAATATATATGTACTTTTATGTATATATTATACATGAGTGTATATATGTACAGTCTATACACATACATACAAATACAGTATATACACATATGTGTATACACAAGTATATGTATAAAGTAGTTTTACAAATATAAATAAATATATACAATATATTTATTTGTAGATATACAGAATAAAATATGGAATATTTTAAAATAAAATTAATTTGAAGAACTAAGTACATATTTAAAGAAGATAAACAATATCAAAGTCAAAATAAGTTCTCC